>NW_003571056.2:811614-845240 GCF_000001405.40 Homo sapiens | reverse complement strand
ATGTGATCTCTGTGGTCTCTGCACAGACAGACCCTCCTTCCCTTCTGCCAGAGTGGGAGCAGCCTGAGGCCGTCACAGGAAACAGATGCTGGTGCCATGCTTCCAGTACAGCCTGCAGAACTGTGAGGCAAACAAATCTGTTTTCTCTAGAAGTTGCCCAGGCTCTGGGATGCAAGGCTGGTTCAATATATGCAAATCAATAAATGTAATCCATCATATAAACAGAACCAAAGACAAAAACCGGACGACTATCTCAATAGATGCAGAAAAGGCCTTTGACAAAATTCAACAACGCTTCATGCTAAAAACTCTCAATAAATTAGGCATTGATGGGACGTATCTCAAAATAATAAGAGCCATCTATAACAAACCCACAGCCAGTATCATACTGAATGGGCAAAAACTGGAAGCATTCCCTTTGAAAACTGGCACAAGACAGGGATGCCCTCTTTCACCACTCCTATTCAACATAGTGTTGGAAGTTCTGGCCAGGGCAATTAGGCAGGAGAAGGAAATAAAGGGTATTCAATTAGGAAAAGAGGAAGTCAAATTGTCCCTGTTTGCAGATGACATGATTGTATATATAGAAAACCCCATTGTCTCAGCCCAAAATCTCCTTAAGCTGATAAGCAGCTTCTACAAAGTCTCAGGATACAGAATCAATGTACAAAAATCACAAGCATTCTTATACACCAATAACAGACAAACAGAGAGCCAAATCATGAGTGAACTCCCATTCACAATTGCTTCAAAGAGAATAAAATACCTAGGAATCCAACTTACAAGGGATATGAAGGACCTCTTCAAGGAGAACTACAAACCACTGCTCAATGAAATAAAAGAGGATACAAACAAATGGAAGAACATTCCATGCTCATGGGTAGGAAGAATCAAGATCGTGAAAATGGCCATACTGCCCAAGGTAATTTATAGATTCAATGCCATCCCCATCAAGCTACCAATGACTTTCTTCACAGAATTGGAAAAAACTACCTTAAAGTTCATATGGAATCAAAAAAGAGCCTGCATTGCCAAGTCAATCCTAAGCCAAAAGAACAAAGCTGGAGGCATCATGCTGCCTGACTTCAAACTATACTACAAGGCTACAGTAACCAAAACAGCATGGTACTGGTACCAAAACAGAGATATAGATCAATGGAACAGAATAGAGCCCTCAGAAATAATGCCACATATCTACAACTATGTGATCTTTGACAAACCTGAGAAAAACAAGCAATGGGGAAAGGATTCCCTATTTAATAAATGGTGCTGGGAAAACTGGCTAGCCATAGGTAGAAAGCTGAAACTGGATCCCTTCCTTACACCTTATACAAAAATTAATTTGAGATGGATTAAAGACTTAAACGTTAGACCTAAAACCATAAAAACCCTAGAAGAAAACCTAGGCATTACCATTCAGGACATAGGCATGGACAAGGACTTCATGTCTAAAACACCAAAAGCAACGGCAACAAAAGCCAAAATTGACAAACGGGATCTAATTAAACTAAAGAGCTTCTGCACAGCAAAAGAAACTACCATCAGAGTGAACAGACAACCTACAAAATGGGAGAAAATTTTCGCAACCTACTCATCTGACAAAGGGCTAATATCCAGAATCTACAATGAACTCAAACAAATTTACAAGAAAAAAACAAACAATCCTATCAAAAAGTGGGCAAAGGACATGAACAGACACTTCTCAAAAGAAGACATTTATGCAGCCAAAAAACACATGAAAAAATGCTCACCATGACTGGCCATCAGAGAAATGCAAATCAAAACCACAATGAGATACCATCTCACACCAGTTAGAATGGCGATCATTAAAAAGTCGGGAAACAACAGGTGCTGGAGAGGATGTGGAGAAATAGGAACACTTTTACACTGTTGGTGGGACTGTAAACTAGTTCAACCATTGTGGAAGTCAGTGTGGCGATTCCTCAGGGATCTAGAGCTTGAAATACCATTTGACCCAGCCATCCCATTACTGGGTATAAACCCAAAGGACTATAAATCATGCTGCTATAAAGACACATGGACACGTATGTTTATTGTGGCACTATTCACAATAGCAAAGACTTGGAACCAACCCAAATGTCCAACAATGATAGACTGGATGAAGAAAATGTGGCACATATACACCATGGAATACTATGCAGCCATAAAAAATGATGAGTTCATGTCCTTTGCAGGGACATGGATGAAATTGGAAATCATCATTCTCAGTAGACTATCACAAGGACAAAAATCCAAACACCGCATGTTCTCACTTATAGGTGGGAATTGAACAATGAGAACACATGGACACAGGAAGGGGAACATCACACTCTGGGGACTGTTGTGGGGTGGGGGGAGGGGGGAGGGATAGCATTAGGAGATATACCTAATGCTAAATGACGAGTTGATGGGTGCAGCACACCAGCATGGCACATGTATACATATGTAACTAACCTGCACATTGTGCACATGTACCCTAAAACTTAAAGTATAATAATAATAAAAATTTTAAAAAAAAGCTCATCAGAAGCACTATACAAAAAAAAAAAAAAAAAAAAAAGAAGTAACCCAGGCTCAAGTGTTCTTTTATAGCAACAAAAATGGACTAAGACAGCAACGTCCTGAGATCAGGAGGAACGTCTCAGAACAGCCTGTGCTGTCTTCCTGTTCTTCCTGGAGGAGGACGTCATGCAGTGCTTTAGCTGAGTGCTTCCTGTGGCTTCAGGGTACAAAACCCAGGCTGGGCTATTTTCTGGCTTCCCCCAGATACACTGCAAATGAGGTGACTCCATATGTCCCGAGCAGCTTTTCTGAGCCTTGAGGGACTGGCTCACGTTGAAATGTAGGCTTCTGTTGTCACTCGCTGCTTATCTGTTAGTAATGAACCTGCCTATGTAACGTATTCTCTGTGTGTTCTGTCTCCCTGGAGTGACGGTGAGTGATAGAAATTGGCATAGGCCCAGGTGCAGTACAGCAGGTGTTTAGAGTCTTCTCTGGAAAGACTGGACTGGGATTGATACACAGTGAATGTGCTTTACAGTTTCTACATCCACAACCCTCTTGACTCAAATTACATTCTCCAAGAAAAGGACACAAAAGTGAAATCAAGATCAAAAAAGCAAAGTAGAATTCTCTTATGTCAAACAGCCAGGAAATAATGATGAAGCCCATGTGAAACGTGCTACTCTTTGTGATCTCGCGAGACACATGTTAGGCTGCTGTTCCACCTGAGAGGCTGGGGGAAAGACCACCCCCTCCACCATCTATTGCTTCAAAACCACCTGTCCTCCTGTGAATTAGTAGGAAAGGGGAGCAGGAGCTAGTGCTGGTGCTGATCTCTGATTCCAAGATCTGAACTCACTCCAAGGAGTATTAGCGTTTACCTCCCCATGATCTATCTGTATCTCCACAGGTGATTGGAAGTAGGGGTGAGGTGGGGGATTTGGGTGAGGGGGAAAGTTTCTTGTGATGAACAGAGCACTTTCCCTATTTCAGGGCCTGTGCTGGTGGGTTCAGGGGGCTTTCATATTTTCCATATGATCTCATGTTCACAGAAAGCCAAATATGGAAGAGGTTTTAGGCTGATTTTCTAATGGATAAGATAAAGGATCAAAGAAGTAATTATAGAGGAATAGAAAAATGATGATTGGAATTCAGGTGCCTGCATCATTTGTGTATATTATTATATTTATGTATTTTTTATTTTTATTTTTTGAGACAGAGTATCCCTGTGTAGCCCAGGCTGGTGTGCAGTGATGCGATCTCCACTCACTGCAACCTCTGCCTCCAGGGCTGAAGTCATTCTCCTGCTTCCTCCTCCAGAGTAGCTGGGATTACAGTCATGCACCACCATCATGCCTGTTTAATTTTTGTATTTTTAGTAGAGATAGGGTTTCTCCATGTTGGCCAGGCTGGTCTCGAACTCCTGACTTCATGTGATCCACCCGCGTTGGCCTCCTGAAGTGCTGGGTTACAGGCGTGAGCCACCGTTCACAGCCTTGTATATTATGCTATACTAGGTCCCTTCATTTGCACCACCCCTCATCTAGCTCTCCCTCCTCTGCCAGGTATTGATTTAGATGCAGGAGAAATAAATCTCAGAAATAAGTTAGTGAAGCGAGGATTAAACTACCAGGAAAAATTAAACCCAGCAAGCCTTTCCAGCCAATGATTCTACCTCACAAACATATCTTATATCCATCTACTTCATTCATTTAGTGTCTAAATCAGCACCACATTTCACCAGTGGGGCGGCAATTGCCTTTTCCACGGTCTCCTAGATTCCAGTTATGCAACTGAGCCTCCCTTATTTTCATGTCAGTCATATTAATCATGTAGGGATTCCTGGTTACCTCGAGGTGAATCCAATGGCTGTGAGTGTCAAACACACGCTCCTTGTTGCTCCTTAGTTTCCTGTGTACCCAGTGTGCTCTCCGTCTCTCTACAGTCATCTTGTCATTCTCCCCACCTCATTCCCAGCATTTGAGTCAGAGCCTCTTCCTTCCACATCAGATTGTTTTCACCTTTGTGCCTTCACGGCTGACAGCTGTGTGTGCAAAATCCTTCCGCCAATCTTTCAGGGGTTCAATCCGTGTTTTTCATTAATGTCACAAATATCTGATTAGTGAGAACTTCTCTGTCACCTGAAATAATACACTCAGCATTATCTATTATTGATTTGAAAATTTGGCTTGGCCCCGTGGCTCATGCCTCTTATCCCAGCGTGTTGGGAGGCAGAGGCTATTGGATCACCTGAGGTTGGGAATTTGAGACCAGCCTGGCCAACATGGTGAAACATCCTCTCTACAGAAAATATGCAAAAAGAGTTAGCCGGGCGTGGTGGTTGTGGTCTGTAATCCCAGCTACTGGAGAGGCTGAGGGAGGAGATCAGTTCAGCCCAGGAGGTGGAGGTTGCAGTGAGCCGAGATCATGCCACCGCACTCTAGCCTGGACGACAGAGCAAGGCTCCGTCTCAATAAACAAGTAGGTAAATACATAAATAAATAGATTTCATGCACAGATGCTTCTCAATAGATCATTCATTTATTGGTCCCCTTGTGCCTACATTTTCTGCCCTCCCATTTAACCATCTGCAAGATCAGTGTCCCAAGAACAGAGGCCAAATGCATCTTGTTCACTGTTTGTGGAAGGCAGGAGAATGTTGTCCCACCCCAAAAATGTCCATGTCCTAGCCTCCATAGCTTGTGAATATGTTATTTTACATGAAAGGAGGAATGAAGATTGCAGATGGAATTATGGTTGCTAGTCAGCTGAACTTAAAAGGAGGGTATCCTGGATGATTTCCGGGAGATTATGATGGATTTTCATCTTGGTGAACCCAATAGAATCCCCAAGTTTTCAAAAGAAGGGCAAGAAGGGAGAGCAGCATTCAGAGAAAGAGGTGTGGTAAGGAAGAAGGGTCTGAGTGATGCCATGTGAGATGTGACCAGTCTTTGTGGGCTTTGAGGAAGGAGGAAGGGTACCAGGAGCCAAGGAACATGGGAGCCTCTAGAAGCTGAGAAAAGTGAGAAGCAGATTCTTGCCTGGAACCCTCAGAGGGAAGGCAGCCTTGCTGTCACCTTGATTTTAGCCCAGTGACATGCACGTCATGCTTTGAGCTACAGCACTGTAAGATAATTAAATAACCGTTTTGTTTTCACACACGAATCTTGTGGAAATTTGTTATGGCAACAATAGGAAAAGCTTCCACACTGCACAGCCTGAGCATGGGGCTGTGGCTGAATGAGTCACTGAGTCGAAGTGTGCGTGCATGAGCTCTGTTCTCTGTTACGGCAAGGCTCTTGCTCTGCTGAGTCAGCCAGGGTTGCCTGATGACCAACAGTAATTCATTCCTTGGCAAGTGGAACTTCTCTAAAACACCCACCCTCATCAGATGTTCCCTTCCCTTCCCTCTCTCAAGCCCCCGGGAATTTATCCTCCAGTTAGGAATGCAGGCAGAAAAAACACTGCATTTTTCCTGAGAAGGATGTCAGATTGGCAATTATTCTTCTAGCTTGTAGGAGGTCTCACCTGCAGGAAATTAAAGGTAAAGAGACTTCGCTGAGCCCTTTGGTGGCCCTAGATCCCTTTCACTGTTGGAGTGTCTGGAGTTCAGAGATGGTGGAAGACAGGCCCTCATTCACAGAGCTGGGAGGTTTGAGCCAACACTTGCATCCAAGGCTTCCACCTCCCCAGGTTTCCAAAAGCAGAGATAAGAGGGGTCCTTTACTCACCAGATTTGGAGCTTGGTTCTGTGGGTGAAGGCCAACTACTTGAAGGGTTTCCTAGAACACGGGACAGGAGAGATGTGAGGAAATGAGGGTGCTTGTCCTCTACTCAATGGAAATCTTTGAGGTTGGTTCATGGCCAACACTCTGTTATCTAATGTTGGACCCTGGGAGTCTTGGGATCCTTTTCTCCATAATTTTTGTGTGCGATGCCCACTGTCTTGAGACTTGAAGGTATAAAGAGAAAACAGGAGCATCACACTACCTGACTTAGAAATATGTTACAGAGCTGTAGTAAGCAAAACAGCATGACATTGGCATAAAGAAAGGCACATAAAAAATGGAACAGAATGGAGAACACAGATATAATCCATGCATTTACATCCAATGGCTTTCTTTTGTGTGTGTGTGATAGAATCTTGCTCTGTCATGCAGGCTGGAGTGTAGAGGTGCAATCTCAGCTCAATGCAACCTCCACTTCCTGGATTCAAGAAATTCTCTTGCTTCAAACTCCTGAGTAGTGGTATTACAGGCACTGATCACCATGCTCAGCTAATTTTTGTATTTTTAGTAGAGACGAGGTTTCACTCTGTTGGCCAGCCTGGTCTTGAACTCCTGGCTTTAGGTGATCCACCCGCCTCGGCCTCCCAAAGTGCTGGAATTGCAGGTGTGAGCCACCATACCCAGCCCATTTAATGGACTTTGACAAAGGTGCCGAGAACTTACAATCAGGAAAGGACAGTCTTCAATAAATGGTGTGGGGAAAACTGGATATCTACATGCAGAGGAATAAAACTGCATCTATACCTGTCACCTTACACAAAAATCAAATGAAAATGGATTAAAAACATGAGTCTAAGGCCTGAACCTATGAAACATGTAGAAGAAAATAATGGGGAAGACATTTGTCTGATGAAAGACATTTTGTTTAAAACCTTCAAAACACAAGTAATCAAAGCAAAAAATAGACCATTAGGATTACATCAAACCAAGCAACTTCTGCACCACCAAAGATAAACCAACAAAGTGAAGAGACAACCCACAAAATAGGAGCAAATATTTGCAAACTATTCATCTGAGATGGGATTAATAACTGGAAATATAAGAAGCTCAAACAACTCAATAAAACAATTTAATTAAAAAACGAGCAAAAGACATGAGGAGACATTTCTCCACAAACAAAACATAGAAATGGCGATCACGTATATGAAAAAGTGCTCAGCATCACTCATCATCACAGAAATGTAAATTACAATCGCGATGAGTTTTCATCTCATCCCATTAAAATGCCTTTTAGGCCGGTGGCTCACGCCTGTAATTCCAGCACTTTGGGAGGCGGAGGTGGGCGGATCACCTGAGGTCGGGAGACCAGCCTGACCAACATGGAGAAACTCCCTCTCTACTAAACATACAAAAATTAGCTAGGCGTGGTGGCACATGCCTGTAATCCCAGCTACTTTGGAGGCTGAGGCAGGAGAATCAGTTGAACGCGGGAGGCAGAGGTTGCAGTGAGCCGAGATCACACCCTTGCACTCCAGCCTGGGCGACTATGAGTGAAACTCCATCTCAACATAAATAAATAAATAAATAAAGTAAAGTAAAATGGCTTTTATCTGCAAGACAGGCAAAACAAATGCTGGCAAGATGGTAGAGAAAGGAGAACCCTGGTACCCTGTTGGTAGGAATGTAAATTAGTACAACTATTATGGAGAAAAGTATGGAAAATCTTTAAAAAACTAAAAGGAGGCTGGGCATAGTGGCTTATGCCTGTAACTTCAGCACTTTGGGAAACCGAGGCAGGCACCTCACTTGAGGTCAGGAGTTTGAGAGCAGCCTGCCCAAAATTGGGATATCCCGTCTGTGCTAAAAAATACAAGAATTAGTCAGGCATGGTGGCGTGCACCTGTAATCACAGCTATTAGGGAGGCTGAGTCAGGAGAATCGTTTGAACCTAGGAAGCAGAGGTTGCAATGAGCCAAGATCGCACCACTTTGACTCCAGCTTGGACTAAGGAGGGAAACTCTTTCTCAAAAAAGAAAAAAAAAAAAAGAGAACTTTCATAGTGTCCAGCAATTTCACTACTGGGTTTATATCCAAAGGAAAGGACATCAGTGTATCGAAGTGATATCTGCACTCATATGACTGTTCCAGCACTGTTCACAGTAGCCAAGATGTGGAGTCAACCTACCTGCCTATCAGTGGGTGAATGGATAGAGAACTGTAGTACACACACACGGTGGAGACTACTCATCCATAGAAACAATAACATCCTGTCATTTGCAGCCACATGGATGGAACTGGAGGTCATTACAAAGATTCCCATTTCTCACCACATGCAGGAGATAAAAGGTGGATCTCATGAAGGTAGAGAATAGAATGGTGGATACCAGAGGCCAGGAAGGGAAGGGTGGAAGGTAACAAAAAAAAGAATATAGATGTATTTATTTATTTAGAAACAGAGTCTCTCTCTGTCTCCCAGGCTGCAGTGCAGTGGCATGATCTCGGCTCAGTGCAACCTCTGCCTCCTGGCTTTAAGTGCTTCTCCTGCCTCAGCCTCCCAAGTAGCTAGGACTACAGGTGCATGCCGGCATGCTTGGCTAATTTTTCTTGTCTGTTTAGTAAAGATGAATTTCCCGCATGTTGGCCAGGCTGATCTCGAGTCCCTGATCTTAAATGATCCACCTTTCTTGGCCTCTCAAAGCGCCAAGATTACAACCGTGAACCACCACACCCAGCATATAAAGGTATTTATGACCACTAGATTTTACTTTTAAAAATGGTAAAGTTGGTAAATTATATAGTTACATTTAACCTCAATAAATATTTTTGAAAATGAAAAGAAAAGAGTGTAGGGGTTGCTGGTGATGACATCTCTCTGTGTGGGTGAGAGGCCAGGATGGGCTTCTGGGAAATGGGTAAGGTTGAGGGGCTGAGGGAACCTCTGATCTCCCCAAACTGAGCCCAGTCTCCCCTTCTCTGGGTCTGTCCTGACCGCTTTCTCCATCTGCCTGGGTGCCTGGAGCCCTGACCATGGGCCTCCATGCAGGCCATGCAAGAGGGTTTGGAGGTGCCCTGTCTGCCATCCTGCACCCTGACCCCCCCCTCACACCCAGTCTTCGTGTTCTCTCTGCATCTGTCCATGCTTCTCCCCATCATCGGCAGGAAGCTCCTCAGCTATGGCTCTAGGATCATAAGACATGGGACAGACACGGGTTTTCCTCACCTGTGACAGAAACAAGCAGTGGGTCACTTGAGTTTGACCACACGCAGGGCAGGGCACGGAAAGAGCCGAAGCATCTGTAGGTCCCTCCGTGGGTGGCAGGGCCCAGAGGAAAGTCTGCCTGGAATGTTCTGTTGACCTTGGGCACTGCACGGAGCCTACGTTCATGGGCCTCCCCTTCCCTGGACAGATGGTAGATGTCATAGGAGCTCCAGGAGCTACAGGACAAGGTCACGTTCTCTCCTGCCTGAACCGTGGGGCCCGGCTGGGCTGAGAGAGAAGGTTTCTCATATAGACCTGGAAGGAGAAGAGGCAGTTTCCTCAGGGAGGTTCTTCCTTGTCACAGCTCCCCTCATACCTGAGCTGAGAACTCACTCCCCTGCTCTATGACCTAATGCTCTCTCTCTCTCTCACCCTCCACCCCAACTCTCTTCATGTCTATTTCCTCCTTCCGCCTTCTCTGTCTCTCTAGGTCTCTGACCTCACTTCCCCACCCCTGGGTATGCTTTCCCTTTTTGGATTGTTTTATTCTCTCTGACTCTCCTTGGATTGGTTGACTTGATCTTCCTTTTTCTATAATTCTGAGTCTCTCACTTTCTGTCTTGTTCATAACTTTCTGCATATTTCTATCTATTATCTATCTATCTATTTTGTGTCTATCTACAAATTATCTGTCATCTATATCTATGTATCATTTATCTATCAATTGTCTATCTGTCTATCCATCAATCATCTATGTATTATCTGTATCTATGTATCATCTCTCTCTCTCTCTATTACCTCTCTGTCTGCCTGTCAGTCTCTATGTATCATCTATGTATCTATATATTTATATATGTGTCTTCTATCTATCTTCATCATCATCATCATCATCTCTATGTATCATCTATCAATCATCATCTATGTATCTATAACCTATCCATTATCTATCATCTACCTATTTATCATCTATCTATATCTATCTATCCATCTATCATCTGTCTCTCTCCATCTCCTTGTCTTTCTCTGCCTCTCAGTCTCTCTAGTTCTATTTGGAATCTCTGCAATCCATCCCCACATCTTTATCTTTCTCTGTCTTTGTGCCCCTCCCTCAGGGTTCTGATTTTGGGGCTTTTCTCTCCTCCCTTCCAGCATTCTCTCCACTCCTCTGCCCTCTTTTCTTTCTTTTTGTGTGTCTGTGAGTCTCTCAATCCCCTTCCTCTGGCTCATTCTCTGTGTGTTTATGCCTTTGCTTTTTGAAGTCCCTGATTTATCTCTGTGTCTCTCAGTGATCCTATTATATGTAGGATTATTTGGAATATGAGCCTCAGAATCTAGTCTGGGGACACCAAGTACACACAGTATTTAGGGGTTGGTGTTCTGGGGCCATGATATCCTGGGATAATTATGGCTCCACTGCATGGAAGGCAGAGGTGTCAGAATAAACATGGCATCTGTAGATGCCACAAGGCCTGAGGCCACAGGGCCCAACTCAGGTCAGAAATATGGGTGTCCTTGGGTTCTCCTCGTAGAAGCACTTTGTGGAGACAAAACAGAAATGAAACTTCTAACCTGTGCCAGGTCTCTGAGCAAAGTCAGCATGGAAGGACACTTCTCTCTGGCACATGTCTGTCTGTCTGAGTGTCTCCTTTACCTCTTTCTCTCTTTTCTACTTCCCCGTATGGCCCCTGTGTCTGTCCTCTGTTATGACACCTGGTCTGTACTTATGTCTCCTGTTTCCCTGTCTCTGTTGGTACAGACCTCACCGAGTCAGTCTCTCTCCATAAGAATCCCACGCTTATCTTCCTCATGACCACCTGGGGGTTCCAAGTCCTGGATCATTCACTCTGTGTCCCAATGACAATGAGAAGAATGTCTGGACACTCTCACCTGTGATCACGATGTCCAGGGGGTCACTGGGAGCTGACAACTGATAGGGGGAGTGAGGAACAGAACCATAACATCTGTAGGTTCCTGCAAGGACAGGCATCAAGGGACCGATGGAGAAGTTGGCCTTGGAGACCCCATCATGGATCTGTCCAACGAGGCGTGAGGGGTCCTCAGAGATCCCCTCTCTGTGCAGAAAGAAGTGCTCAAACATGACATCTGACCAACATTGCAGGATGACTGTCTCTCCTGATTTCAGCAGGGGCCCTGGGTGGGCCAGGAGGGAAGGTTTTCTGTGGTTTCCTAGAAAGAGAAGTTGTGAGTTTAGAAGGCATCTCTCTTTATCATCCCATCCATGGCACCTGGAATGAGTGAGGGTTCCCCTCCCAGAGGTCTGTCTCTCTCCTCCCTCTCTGTGTCTCCGTGTCTTTTCTGTGCCCATATCCCCTGGTGCAGGTCCCTCCATTTGTCTTCCTCCCTCTTCTCTGTCCCTCTGTCTCCAGTAGCCCCTGACTCCCTTCCCACTGTGAAGAGAGCCTCATCTCTTGGGCTGTTGTATCTCTTTCCCACTAGTCTCTTTCCTGCTGTCTATGTGGGGGTGGAAGAGGACAGGCTGCATGTCCAGGCTCTCAGCAGCCTGAATCAATCTCTTTTGAACAAATTGGAGTCTCTGGCAGAGGTATCAACTCATCAGTAAGGCAGACATCAGTGTCCACACACCCTGTTCCTGATGGGGATTGGGAGCCTCTCCTGCCATGTCTGTGCCTTCTCCATGGCCCCAGCTTCCATAGGGTGGTCCCTGGTGCTGGTTCCAGGAGCATCAACCCCTTCCTATGTGGATGGAGCCTGGTGGTGGCATCAGCATCCCACCCTTGCTGATCCCACGGTAGCCAACCTTCTCCTTGTTTGGTTTCTTTAATTAATTGATTAATTAATTTATTTTTGAGACAGTCACTTTTTCACCCAGGCTGGAGTGCAGTGGTGTTGTCTTGGCTCACTGCAACCTCTGCCTCCCCGGTTCAAGTGATTATCTTGCCTCAGCCTCCCCAGTCGTTGGATTACTCGTGCCCACCACCACACCTGGCTATCCTTGTTTGGTTTCCTAGCTTGTCCTTGACCTGGGTTCCTGTGTCGGTTTCCTGTTGCTGCTGCAGAAAATTATCACAAACATGGCAGCAGGAGAGAACACACTGACCCCTTCCACTTCTGGGGACAGAAATTGGATCCAGTTCTCCCTGTGCTGAAATCAAGGCATCTGCAGGGCTGCGTTCCCTCTGGAGACTCAGCAAATCAGTTCTCTTGACTTCTCCAGCCCTTAGAGGCCACCTGCATTCTGTGACTAGTGGCCTTCCTCCACCTTCAAAGCCCACAGTGGCTGATAGCGTCTCCCTCCCACTACACTGCTCTAATCCCCACTCCCCTCTTCCTCCACCTCTCACGCGGACCCTTGTGATTACACTGAGCCCAGCAGGACAGTCCAGGCTGTCTCCCCATCTCAAGGTCAACTCATCAACAACCTGAGCTCCACCTTCCCCTTCAGTCCCCTGCCCTATAACATAAATAGTCACAGGCTCCAGGGTTTACAATGTAGCCATCATTGGCGACAGTTATTCTTCCCACCACAGCACCCATTTCCCCTGTATTCAATCTCCCTTGACCCCAAATACAGTTGGGGCCTGGGTGATGGGACCCTGATGGACACCCCCACCAGAAGCTCTGGGATTCAGGAGGTGGGACAGTGAGAAGCCCAGACAGAAAGCCTCTGACCTGTGACCATGATCACCAGGGGGTTGCTGGGTGCCGACCACCCAGTGAGGGAGTGTGGGCGTGAACCCCGACATCTGTAGGTCCCTGCATGTGCTGGGGTCACAGGGCCCATGATGAAGCTCTCCTGGAATATTCTGCCGTGGAAGATGGGAACGTGGCTTCTGTCTTCTTTGTACAGCATGAAATTGTTAAACCCACGACGATAGTGACACTGAAGAGCCACGTGTCCTCCTCGAGGCACCACAGTGCTGGGCCGGGCAGACAGGAAGGGTTTGTCCTGACCACCTGGGGGAGAAGGAGGCACTGCCTTAGAGAGGAGGATGTGGAGCCACCCCTCCCTCCCTGTGCTCAGAAGATTCTCCCATTTCCGCTTTCTAAGGCTCCTACCACACCTGGGTGCCCAGGGCTACAGGAAGGACCCACCCCACATAGACATGGCGTCTCCCTACAACAAGTGTCAGCTGAGAACTTTGAGCAAGTGCTGAATAAGTGACTCTTACTAGATTTTAATACTGCAAAATTACTCACATAAAACAACACAAAGTAGACACGGCATGGAGGGCATGTCCTATGTGAATGGAATATCAGCCAATTCATGAACTGAGCCCCCTCAGAGGATTTGGAATGTCAGGGCCATGGCTGTGGTTTCCCCCCTCTTCTGGTAGAAAGACCGCAGCCACACTGCAGCCCCTACCGTCACGGAAACGCTGGAGGGTGTCAGTTATACCTTTGTCCTCAGAGGACCTGCTGTTCCTAGCACTGCTTCCCTCTCTTTCTCTGCTGCTGACACCACTTCCTCCCTGCACACCCCAGCTTGGAGCACCCCAGTCTCACCCCAGTCTTCACAGAGCTTGACTCAGGAAAGGGAAAGAAAGGCCAGGGAGGGCGAGGTCAGAAATGTGGGCCGAGTATCCAAGGGTCCCCTCTTCCTAGTTTATGAGAGACTCCCCGACAGGACTTCCCTCCTGTTTCAGAAAAATCCTCTTATGTGGGGAGATGACACCCTAAGGTTTGGGGACGGACTCACCCATGAGTGGCCAGGCCCCCTGCAGCAAGAAGAACCCTGGAAAGAAAGATCATGATAGACGATCCAACTGCAGGCAAACCAGGGCACCCTGCTGCCCCCACTGCACTGTGTGTCTTGGCAGCCAGGCCCTTGCTGGGCTGAAGGTAAACTTAGCCTCCCTGCTACCTGCTGCCAAGAACAGGGCTCTCAGCTGTGGAGAGACCCAGGCTCCAGGCCCAGATCAACACTTCCTGGCCCAGATCTCCACTCCAGGCCCATATCTCCACTCCAGGCCCCTATCTCCACTCCAGGCCCATATCTCCACTCCAGGCCCATATCTCCACATCAGACCCATATCTCCACTCCAGGCCCAGATCTCCCCTCTAGGCCCATATCTCCACTCCAGGCCCATATCTCCACTCCAGGCCCATATCTCCACATCAGACCCATATCTCCACTCCAGGCCCATATCTCCACTCCAGGCCCAGATCTCCACCTGCAGGCCCATATCTCCACTCCAGGCCCATATCTCCACTCCAGGCCCGTATCTCCACTCCAGGCCCATATCTCCACACCCAGGCCCATATCTCCCCTCCAGGCCCATATCTCCACTCCAGGCCCATATTTACACCTCCAGGCCCATATCTCCACACCCAGGCCCATATCTCCACTCCAGGCCCATATCTCCACTCCAGGCCCATATCTTTACCTCTAGGCCGAGATCTCCATCCCCACTCTCCCTCCCTCTATTCCCTTCCAGGACTCACCAACGCACGCCATGCTGACGACCGTGAGCGACATGGTGCTGCCGGTGCAGACAGGAGGCCGCGCCCCAGCTCAGCTCAGCAGCGCACAGGATGTTATTTGGCGCCCTGCCCATGCAGTTTACATGTTGACCACATCATGGGAGGGTGACGTACGCAGGCTCTTTCTACCTTGCATGAGGCCCAGTGGGTGCTCGCTCAAGAGCGGAACATGGCTTCCTGGAAATTGTTGTGACTACAATTGCCACCTTGCATCCTTCACTATGACCAGACTCAAAAGACGTCTCAGATCCAACCTCTCACACATGAGGTGATTGAATTCTGTGCTTACATTAAAGACTTTTGATGTATTTTTGTTTTTATCTGAGATTCAAACTTTTCTTCATGTGTAATGTGCAAAATATCTAAGAGGTATTATTAACATTATCAGAGTAATTGTGACAAAAAGCCATTCTAATTTTCCTGATGAGTTTCTAGTACTAAACCTGAGGCACGAGAATTGCTTGAACCTGGGAGGCGGAGGCTGCAGTGAGCTGAGCTCAAGCCACTGAACTCCAGCTTGGGTGACAGAGGAAGAGTCTGTCTCAAGAAAGAAAAAAAAAAGCAAACTAAATAACCTATAATAACAAATCAGAGAACTCAGGTTACCAAATTTTAAGGGGTTCTATAAGTTTATATGAAATGCAGCATCCTCATGAGAGGGGATACAGAGAACCACTGGGCAGAAAACTGTGTCTAAAATACATCTGTGGATACACAGTCCCTTTATAGTTGACAAAGGCTGCCATGTAGTTTAAGGTGGAATAGAATATTTTCTCAACAAATAACACAGGACCATAGGGTTACACGTAGGAAAAAATAAATCTAAACTTATCCTCACACTATAAAGACACTTCTTATTTTTTATCTTGTTGTTGTAAACTTTTTATGCTTTATTTTTAAGATTGACAAATAAAAATTATATACTGTGGTCCTTCACTATTCCTGGGTGATTGGTTCCAGGATCCCCATTCAGATACCAAAATCTGCAGATGCTCAAGCCCCTTGCATGAAATGGCATAGCGAAGCTGGGCACCGTGGCTCACGCCTGTAATCCCAGCACTTTGGGAGGCTGAGTTGGGTAGATCACGAGGTCAGGAGTTCAAGACCAGCTGGTCCAACATTCTGAAACCCCGTCTCTACTAAAAATACACACACAAAAAAATTTATCTGTGCATGGTGGCACGTGCCTGTAATCCTAGGGGAGGCTACTGGGGAGGCTGAGGGAAGACAATCGCTTGAACCTGGGAGGCGGAGGTTGCAGTGAGCTGAGATCATGCCACTGCACTCCAGCCTGGGTGAGAGAGTGAGACTGTCTCAAAAAAAAAAAAAAATAGCATAGCAATTGCATAGAACCCATGCACATCCTCCTGTATACATGAAATCATCCCTTGATTACTTATAATTCCTGACACAGCCTACACGCCACTCAATTTGTGTCGATTCAACATAGTTTTTTGCTTCTTGAAACTTCGGGGATTTTTTTCTGAAAATATTTTTGATTTATTGTTGGTTCAATAAACACCTGTAAACCCCACAGATATGGAGGACCGACTGTATATTTATATTATGAAAGATGATATGTTGATATGTGTCCCCGTGGAGATGAGACTAACAAGGCCTATGACTCTACAAATGTTTCATCGTGGAATGACTCTGCCAGCTTTCCAGGTCTGCAGAGAGTAAGAATATCACTTGTTCATGTGATTCACGATCCTTGGAGCCTCCTATGTGCTGTATCTTTGGATGGAAATTGGAGTCTCAGAGACAAATCAGGCTCCATTCTGCTTCCAGAAGCTCAGAGTCCAGGGCTGAGAACCCAATGGAGAACAGATGGGGTTATGTGGACATGGTAATGATAACACCGGAAGCCTTAGGCAAGAAAAGAGTCTCGTTACCGAAACCATGAGGGCAGACATGTTTATTTGAAGGCGGGAAAACTACATTGAAATTATTTAAAAAATTTATAAGTTTTACTGCTGGCAGAAGGCTGAAAGATAGTCTGAAGGGAGGTGGAACAGCACGTGTCTAAGTGCTGTGTTAAGAGGCAGCCTCTTGTATGTTTGGAATTGTGAGTTCCTCAGTGTGATTGCAGCCTCAGGTAGACTAGGAAGTAAGCCAGTTAGGTTGGAGAGGTGGGCAGGGGTCAAGTGAAATGGAGAATTGTGGGCTAAGCAAAGGAGTGTGTTTTCTCTCCAGCAGGCAGTGGGGACCTTAGACATTTGTAAGCAAGAGAGAGGCATGTTCAGATTCGTGGTGTGAGGAAGAGCGATGCCCTAAGATGAAGACTGATGCCTTCAGATTCCAGCTGCTGGTACATGGGAGCTGGCAACCCGGTTTTGAGACAGGGCTGTTGTCTCCCTAGAAGATCCCCTCAAGGCCTGACTGTGGTGCTCGTGGACAGAAGACAACTTTGGATCTGGGCTCAGCATTTGGAAGTTCTATGTACATGCTGGTATCTGTTGGGGGTGTCTTGGGCCTCTCAGAAGGGCGAGTGATTTTTCTCTGTGTGAAAACACAGTGATCCAATTATGCGTATGACACCTCCTGATGGTCTTGTTCATCAGAATCCTGGAGAGAGGGAAATGCTGAGTGAGGGAGGGTGCTCACATTTTTCAGGACTCTTTGGGAATAAGACTAGCCACGAGGCTGGGCGGAGGAGCACCTACCTCGCTGTTCACTGTTCTGTTCCCTGCAGGCTCTTGGTCCATTACAGCAGCATCTGTAGAAGACGGAAGTCAACAAAAGAGCTCGGAGGGCACTTCTGGGTCCTCATTTCATAAGCAGATACCAACAAACAGGGGGAGGCCATAGGTGCCTGAGGTCCCTCAGTTGCCAACAGCAGACTCAGACATTCTATCTCTCTGAGTTCAAGGACCCATCCCATGAATAGCTCTGAGGTCCCATCCCATTGATTCTATCTCCCACTTTCTGCCTGTCATGGAACCTTCTCCTGGATGTGAGTGGCTGCAGGGGACGTGAGGATACAGTTCAGAATCAGGCAATGGTCTGTGAGCTGAAGGCAGGGGAAGGGAATCTGGTGCTCTCTCTAGAAAGTCCTGCCTCTGTGGCTCCTGTCTTGGGCCAGGGACCATCCTGCTGGTGAGGAACACACATCCGCGTGCTCCCATCCTGCTTCCCCACATGGCCCTGAGCTCTCTGGCCTCTGCTTCGTGAGACTTACTTTTTTTGTCGGAGCACCAGCGATGAAGGAGAAAGAAGAGGAGGATGGTGAAAGGGATTTTGACCACTGAGGTCCCAATCAGAACATGTAGGTGTCTGGGGTTACCTGGAAGAAGAGGAGACACCAATAAGAAGCTAATCATAGCAGTTCCTCTTTATGAATTGTCTCGCATTTCTTGATTGGCAGGTAACCACATACAACGTCTCTTTAGGACAAGCACCCAAATGGCGGGAGACCTAGCTTTCCCCTGCTTTCTCAATTATAGCTCTCATAGTAACCATAGAACGTGCTGAGGATACAACTACTTTAGTTGAGATGTTTGACCCTTTCAAACCTCACATTGAAATTTCACCCCCATTGTGGGAGGTTGGGCCTCTTCAGAGGTGTTTGGGTCATGGAGGTGGATCCATCATGAACAGATCAATGCTGTCCCAAGGAGACGGGGTTAGCAAGTTCCCCCTCTGTTAGTTCCTGGAGAGCTGGTTGTTAAAAAGAGCTTGGAAGCTCCATCGCTCCCTCTCCCCCTTACTCTCTCTCTTGCCGTGTGATCTCTGCGGTCTCTGCACAGACAGACCCTCCTTCCCTTCTGCCAGAGTGGGAGCAGCCTGAGGCCGTCACGAGAAATAGATTCTGGTGCCATGCTTCCAGTACAGCCTGCAGAACTGTGAGGCAAACCAATCTCTTTTCTTTAGAAGTTACCCAGGCTCAAGTGTTCCTTTAGAGCAACAAAAATGGACTAAGATAGCAACATCCTGAGATCAGGAGGAATGTCTCAGAACAGCCTGGGCTGTCTTCCTGTTCTTCCTGGAGGAGGACGTCATGCAGTGCTTTAGCTGAGTGCTTCCTGTGGCTCCAGGGTACAAAACCCAGGCTGGGCTGCTTTCTGGCTTCCCGCAGCTACACTGCAAATGGGGTGACTCCATATGTCCCGAGCAGCTTTTCTGAGCCTTGAGGGACTGGCTCACATTGAAATGCAGGCTTCTGTTGTCACTCGCTGCTTATCTGTTAGTAATGAACCTGCCTATGTAACGTATTCTCTGTGTGTTCTGTCTCCCTGGAGTGACGGTGAGTGATAGGAATTGGCATAGGCCCAGGTGCAGTCCAGGATTTGTTTAGAGTCTTCTCTGGGAAGACTGCACTGGGATTGATACACAGCGAATGTGCTTTAGGATTTCTACATCCACAGCATTCTTGAGTCAAACAAATTGCATTCACCAAGGAAAGGAAACAAAGGTGAAATCACGATTAAAAATAGCGAAGCAAGATTCTCTTATGTCAAACAGCCAGGAAATAGTGTTGAAGCCCGTGTGAAATGTGCTACTCTTTGTGATCTCGGGAGACACATGTTAGGCTGCTGTTCTACCCGAGAGGCTGGGGGAAGGACCACCCCCTCGACCATCTATTGCTTCAATACCACCTGTCCTCCTGTGAATTAGTAGGAAAGGGGAACAGGAGCTAGTGCTGTCGCTGATCTCTGATTCCAAGATCTGGACTCACTCCAAGGAGTATTAATGTTTCCTCCCCATGGTCTATCTGAATCTCCACAGGTGATTGGAAGTAGGGGTGAGGTGGGGGATTTGGGTGAGTGGGCAAGTTTTTTTTTGCGATGACCAGAGCACTTTCTCTATTCCAGGATCCGTGCTGGAGGATTCAGCGGGCTTTCACATTTTCTATGTGATCTCATGCTCACAGAAAGCCAAATAGGGAAGAGGTTTTAGGCTCATTGCCTAATGGATAAGATAAAGGATCAAAGAAGTAATTATAGAGAAATAGAAAAATGATGATTGGAATTCAGGTGCCTTTGTCATTCGTGTGTGTTTTATTATATTTATGCATTTCTTATTTTTATTTTTTGAGACGGAGTCTCCTTGTGTCACCCAGGCTGGAGTGCAGTGATGCAATCTCCACTCACTGCAACCTCCACCTCCTGGGTTGAAGTCATTCTCCTGCTTCATCCTCCAGAGTAGGAGCTGGGATTACAGGGATGCACCACCATGCTCGGCTAATTTTTGTATTTTTAGTACAGATAGGGTTTCACCATGTTGGCCAGGCTGGTCTGGAACTCCTGACTTCATGGAATCCACCCGCCTTGGCCTCCTGCAGGGCTGGGTTACAAGCATGAGCCACCGTTCACAGACTTGTATATTATGCTATAATAGGTCCCTTCATTTCCACCACCCCTCATATATCTGTCACTCCTTTGCCAGGTATTGATTTATGTGTAGGATGAATAAATCTCAGAAAGAAATTAATTAAGCGAGGATTAAACAAGTAGGAAAATCAAACCCAGCAAGCCTTTCCAGCCAATGATTCTACCTCACAAGCATATCTTATATCCATCTACTTCATTCATTTAGTGTCTAAATCAGCACCACATTTCACCAGTGGGGCGGCAATTGCCTTTTCCACAGTCTCCTAGATTCCAGTTACGCACCTGGGCCTCCCTTATTTTCTTGTCAGTCACTATTAATCATGTAGGGATTCCTGGTTACCCCGAGGTGAATCCAATGGCTGTGAGTGTCAAACACACACTCCTTGTTCCTCCTTAGTTTCCTGTGTACCCAGAGTGCTCTCCATCTCTCTACAGTCATCTTGTCATTCTCCCCACCTCATTCCCAGCATTTCAGGCAGAGCCTCTTCCTTCAACATCAGATTGTTTTCACCTTTGTGCCTTCACAGCTGACAGCTGTGTGTGGAAAATCCTTCCGCCAATCTTTCAGGGGTTCAATCCGTGTTTTTCATTAATGTCACAAATATCTGATTAGTGAGACCTTCTCTGTCACCCAAAATTATACACTCAGCATTATCTATTATTTATTTTGAATTCTGGCTGGGCAAAGTGGCTCACGCCTGTAATCCCAGTACTTTGGGTTGCTGAGATGGTCGGATCACTTGAGGTTGGGAGTTTCAGACAAGCTTGGCCAACATGGTGAAACATCCTCTCTACAAAAAATATACAAAAAGAATTAGCCGGGCATGGTGGCAGTTGCCTGTAATCCCAGCTACTCGAGAGGGTGAGGCAGGAGAATCACTTGGATCCAGGAGACGCAGGTTGCAGTGAGCCAAGATCGTGACACTGCACTGTAGCCTGGAAGACAGAGGGAGACTCTGTCTCAATAAACAAACGAACGAACAAACAAATAGATTTCATGCACAGATGCTTCCCAATGGATCATTCATTTATTGGTCCACTTGTGCATTCATTTTCTGTCCTCCCATTTAACCATCTGCAATATCAGTGTCCCAAGAGCAGAGGCCAAATGCATCTTGTTCACCATTTGTGGAAGGCAGGAGAATGCTGTCCCACCCCAAAATGTCCCTGTCCTAGCCTCCATAGCTTGTGAATATGTTATTTTACATGGAAAGGAGGAATGAAGATTGCAGATGGAATTATGGTTGCTAATCAGCTGAACTTAAAACAAGGGTATCCTGAATGATTTCCGGGAGATTATGACGGATTTTCATCTTGGTGAACCCAATAGAATCCCCAAGTTTTCAAAAGATGAGGAAGAAGGGAGAGCAGCATTCAGAGAAAGAGGTGTGGTAAGGAAGAAGGGTCTGAGTGATGCCATGTGAGATGTGACCAGTCTTTGTGGGTTTTGAGGAAGGAGGAAAGGGACCAGCAGCCAAGGAACTGGGAGCCTTTATAAGATGGGACAAGTGAGAAGCAGATTCTTGCCTGGAATCCTCAGAGGGAAGGCAGGCTTGCTGTCATCTTGATTTTAGCCCAGTGAGATGCACTTCATGCTTTGAGCTAGAGCACTGTAAGATAATTAAATAACCGTTTTGTTTTCACCCACGAATCTTGTGGAAATTTGTTATGGCAACAATAGGAAAAGCTTCCACACTGCACAACCTGAGCATGGGGCCGTGGCTGAATAAGTCAGTGAGTCAAAGTGTGCGTGCATGAGCTCTGTTCTCTGTTACGGCAAGGCTCTTGCTCTGCTGAGTCAGCCAGGGTTGTTTCATGACCAACAGGAGCTCATTCCTTGGCAAGTGGAACTTCTCTAAAACACCTCGCCCTCATCAGATGTTCGCTTCCCTTCCCTCTCTCAAGCCCCCAGGAATTTATCCTCCAGTTAGGAATGCAAGCAGAACAAACATTGCGTTTTTCCTGAGAAGGATGTCAGATTGGCAATCATTCTTCTAGCTTGTAGGAGGTCTCAGCTCCATAAAATGAGAGATGAAGAGATTTCACTGAGCCCTGTGTTGGGCCCAGATCCCTTTCGCTGTTGGAGTATCTGGAGTTCGGAGATGGTAGAAGACAGGCGTACAATGTCAGAGCTGTGAGATGCTGAGTCAACGCCTGAATCCAAGGTTTCCACCTCCCCAGGGTTCCAAAAGCGGATATAAGAGGGTCCTGTACTCACCGGTTTTGGAGCTTGGTTCAGTGGGTGAAGGCCAACTATTTGAAGGGTTTCCTAGAACATGAGACAGGAGAGAGGTGAGGAAATGAGGGTGTCTGTCCTCTACTCAGTGGAAATCTTTGAGTTTGGTTCATGGCCAACACTCTGTTATCTAACATTGGGCCCTGGGAGTCCAGGGATCCTTTCTTCCATAATTTTTGTATGTGACGCCCACTGTCTTGAGACTTCAAGGTATAAAGAGAAAACAGGAGCATCACACTACCTGATCTCAAAATATGTTACAGAGCTGTAGTAAGCAAAACAGCATGATGTTGGCATGAAGAAAGGCACATAGAACAACGGAGCAGAATGAAGAACACAGATATAATCCATGCATTTACATCCAATTTTTTTTATTTTTTCTTTTGAGATGGAGTCTCGCTCTGTCACCCAGGCTGGAGTGCAGAGGTGCAATCTCGGTTCACTGCAACCTCAGCCTCCTGGGTTCAATCAATTCTCTTGCCTCAAACTCCTGAGTAGTAGTATTACAGGTGCTGACCACCATGCTCAGCTAATTTTTATATTTTTAGTGGAGACGAGGTTTCATCACGTCGGCCAGAGTAATCTTGTACTCCTGTCCTCAGGTGATCCACCAGCCTTGGCCTCCCAAAGTGCTGAAGTTGCTGGTGTTAGCCACCATGCCCAGCCCATCCAATGGACTTTGACAAAGGTGCCAAGAACTCACAATCAGGAAAGGACAGTTTTTTCAATAAACAGTGCAGGGAAACCTGGACATCTACATGCAGAGGAATGAAACTGCACCTCTACCTGTCACCATACACAAAAATCAAATGAAAGTGGATTCAAGATGTGAGTCTAAGGCCTGAACCTGTGAAACACGTAGAAGAAAATATTGGGGAAATGCTCCAGTACATTTGTCTGAAGGAAGACATTTTGTTTTAAACCTTCAAAACACAAGTAATCGAAGCAAAAATAGACCATTGGGATTACCTCAAACTAAGCAACTTCTGCACCGCTAAAAATAAACCAACAAAGTGAAGAGACAACCCACAGATTGGGAGCAAATATGTGCAAACTATGCATCTGAGACGGGATTAATAACTAGAAGTATAAGAAGCTCAAACAACTCAATAAAACAAATGATTTAATTGAAAAAGGAGCAAAAGACATGAAATTTCCCCACATACGAAAAAGTGCTCAGTATCACTCATCATCAGAGAAACGCGAATTAAAATCAAAGTGAGTTTTCATCTCACCCCATTAAAATGGCTTTTAGGCCGGGCGAGGTGGCTCACGTCTGTCATCCTAGAACTCTGAGAGCCCGAGGTGGGCGAATCTCATAAGGTCGGGAGTTTGAGACCAGTCTGACCCACATGGAGAAACGCTGTCTCTACTAAAAATACAAAAATTAGTCGGGCGTGGTGGCGTGTGCCTGTAATTCCAGCTACTCGGGAGGCTGAGGCAGGAGAATCGCTTGAACCTGGGAGGTGGAGGTTGCGGTGAGCCGAGATCGCACCACTGCACTCCAGCCTGGGTGACAAGAGCGAAACTCCATCTCAAAATAAAATGAAATAAAATAAAATGGCTTTTAGCTGCAAGACAGGCAAAACAAATGCTGGCAAGGTGGTAGAGAAAGGAGAACCCTGGTACCCTGTTGGTAGGAGTGTAAATTAGTACAGCCATTACGGAGAAAAGTATGGAAGTCCTTTAAAGAACTAAAAAGAGGTTGGATGAAGTGGATCATGCCTGTAATCCCGGCACTTTGGGAGACCGAGGCGGGCACCTCAGTTGAGGTCATGAGTTTGAGAGCAGCCTAGCCAACCTGGGGAAACCCCATGTACACTAAAAAAAACCAAAAAGTATCCCGGCATGGTGGCGTGCACCTGTAATCCCAGCTACTAGGGAGGCTGAGGCAGGAAAATCATTTGAACCCAGGAGGCGGAGGTTGCAATGAGCCAAGATCACATCACTTGTACTCCAGCCTGGGCACAGAGGGAAACTGTCTCAAAAACAAAAACAAAACAACAAACGAAAAACTAAAAAGAGAACTTTCATAGTATCCAGCAATTTCACTACTGGGTTTATATCCAAAGGAAAGTAAATCAATGTATCGAAGTGATATCTGCACTCGTATGATTGGTGCAGCACTCTTCACAGTAGCCAAGATGTGGAGTCAACCTACCTGCCCATCAGTGGATGAATGGATAGAGAGAATGTAGTACATACGCACAGCGGAGACTACTCATCCATAGAAAGAATAACATCCTGATATTTGCAGCCACATGGATGGAACTGGAAGTCATTACAAATATTCTCATTTCTCACCCATATACAGGAGCTAAAAGGTGGATCTCATGAAGATAGAGAGTAGAATGGTGGCTACCAGAGGCCAGGAAGAAAAGGGTGGAGGATAAAACAAACAAACAAAAAATTTATATGTATGTATTTATGACCACTAGACCTTACACTTAAAATTGGTAAACGTGGCCGGGCGCGGTGGCTCATGCCTGTAATCCCAGCACTTTGGGAGCCTGAGGCGGGTGGATCACGTGGTCAGGAGTTCCAGAGCAGCTCGACCAACATGGTGAAACCCCCTCTCTACTAAAAATACAAAAAGTAGCCCGGCGTGGTGATGGGCGCCTGTAGTACCAGCTACTCAGGTGGCTGAGGCAGGAGAATCGCTTGAACCCAGGAGGCGGAGGTTACAGTGAGCTGAGATTGTGCCACTGCATTCCAGCATAGGAGACAGAGCTAGACTCCACCTCAAAAAAAAAAAAATGTTAAAAGTGGTAAGCTATATAGGTATATTTAACCTCAATGAATATTTTTTCAAACAAAAAGAAAAGGATGTAGGGGTTGCTGGTGATGACATCTCTGTGTGGGTGAGAGGCCAGGAAGGGCTTCTGGGAAATGGGTAAGGTTGAGGGGCTGAGGGAACCTCTGATCTCCCCAAACTGAGCCCAGTCTCCCCTTCTCTGGGTCTCTCCTGACCGCTTTCTACATCTGCCTGGGTTTCTGGAGCCCTAATCGGAGGCCTCCATGCAGGCCATGCAGGAGGGTTTGGAGGTGCTGTGTGTGCCATCCTGCGCCCTGATCCCTCCCTCACAGGCATGCTGCGTCTTCTCTCTGCATCTGTCCATGCTTCTCTCCATCATCAGCAGGAAGCTCCTCAGCTAAGGCTCTAGGATCATAGGACATGGGACAGATATGGGGTTTCCTCACCTGTGACGGAAACAAGCAGTGGATCACTCGAGTTTGACCACTCGTAGGGAGCGTCACGGAAAGAGCCGAAGCATCTGTAGGTCCCTCCGTGGGTGGCAGGGCCCAGAGGAAAGTCGGCCTGGAATGTTCCGTTGATGCTGCGCACTGCAGGGAGCCTACGTTCATGGGCCTCCCCTTCCCTGGATAGATGGAGCTGCAGGACAAGGTCACATTCTCTCCTGCCTGAACCGTGGGGCCCGGCTGGGCTGAGAGAGAAGGTTTCTCATATAGACCTGGAAGGAGAAGGGGCAGTTTCCTCAGGGGGGATCTTCCTTGTCACAGCTCCCCTCACACCTGACCTGAGAACTCACTCCCCTGCTCTATGGCCTAATGCTCTCTTTCTCTGTCTCACCCTCCACCCTATCTCTCTTCATGTCTATTTCCTCCTTCCACCTTCTCTGTCTCTGTAGGTCTCTGACCTCACTTCCCTACCTCTAGTTATGTTTTCCGTTTTTGGATTGTTTTATTCTCTCTGGCTCTCCTTGGATTGGTTGACTTGATGTTACTTTTTTTAACTCTGAGTTTCTCAGTTTGTGTCCCGTTCATAACTTTCTGCATATTTCTATCTATTATCTATCAATCCATCTATTTATCTATTCGGTGCCTATCTACAAATTCTCTACCTGTCATCTATATCTATATATCATCTATTTATCTATCAATTGTCTATCCGTCAATCATCTATTATCTATATATATGTATCATCTCTCTCTCTCTATTATTTCTCTCTTTGTCTTCCTCTCTATCTCTATGTATTATCTATCCATCTATCTTCATCATCATCATCTCTATGTATCATCTATTAATGAATCAATCAATCATCATCTATGTATCTATAACCTATTATCTATCATCTACCTATATATCATCTATCTATATCTATCCATCATCTATCTGTATCTATCCATCTATCATCTGTCTTGCTCTGCCTCTCGGTCTCTCTAGTTCTCTTTGGAATCTCTGCAATTCATCCCCACATCTCCATCTTTCTATGCCCTTGTGCCTCGCCCTCAGGACTCTAATTTTAGTGGTTTTCTCTGCTCTCTTCCATCATTCTCTCCACTTCTCTGCCCTCTTCTCTCTCTTTATGTGTCTGTGAGTCTCTCAATCTCCTTCCTCTGGCTCTTTCTCTGTGTGTTTATGTCTTTGCTTTTTGGTGTCCCTGATTTCTCTCTGTGCTTCTCAGTGATCCTCTCATATGTGATATGTGGGGTTATTTGGAATGTGAGCCTCAGAATCCAGTCTGGAGACCACAAGTTCACACAGCATACAGGGGTTGGTGTTCTGGGGCCATGATATTTTGGGACGATTATTCTCCATTGCATGGAAGTCAGAGGTGTCAGAATAAGCATGGCATCTGTAGGTGCCACAAGGCCTGAGGCCACAGGGCCCAACTCAGGTCAGAAATATGGGTGTCCTTGGGTTCTCCTGGTAGAGAACACTTTGTGGAGGTAAAACAGAAATGAAACTTCTAACCTGTGCCAGGTCTCTGAGCAAAGTCAGCATGGAAGGACACCTCTGTCTGGGACATGTCTGTCTGTCTCCTTTAACTCTTTCTGTCTTTTCTAACTCCCTGTATGGCCCCTGTGTTTGTCCTCTGTTATGACACCTGGTCTGTACTTGTGTCTCTTGTTTCTCTGTCTCTGTTGGCACAGACCTCACCAAGTCAGTCTCTCTCCATAAGAATACCAAGCTCATCTTCCTTACAACCACCTGGGTCTCCAAGTCCTGGATCATTCACTCTGCATCCCAATGACAATGAGAAGAATGTCTGGACACTCTCACCTATGATCACCATGTCCAGAGGGTCACTGGGAGCTGACAACTGATAGGGGGAGTGAGGAACAGAACCGTAGCATCTGTAGGTTCCTGCAAGGACAGGCATCATGGGACCAATGGAGAAGTTGGCCTTGGAAACCCCATCATGGTGCTCTCCAATGAGGTGCAAAGTGTTGTTAAACTTCCCCTCTCTGTGCAGAAGGAAGTGCTCAAACATGACATCCGACCAACATTGCAGGATGACTGTCTCTTCTGATTTCACCAGGTGACCTGGGAGGGCCAGGAAGGAAGGTTTTCTGTGGACTCCTAGGAAGAGAGGTTGTGAGTTTAGAAGGTGTCTCTCTTTATCATCCCATCCATGGCACCTGGAATGAGTGAGCCTTCCCTTCGCTGGTGTCTGTCTCTCTGCTTCCTCTCTGTGTCTTCATGTTCTTTTCTGTGCCCATAACTCCTGGTGCAGGTCCTTCCATCTGTCTCCCTCCCTCTTCTCTGTCCCTCTGTCTCTAGTAGCTGTGATTCCCTTCCCACTGGGCTCAGCCTCATCTCTTGGGCTGTTGTATCTATTTCACACTAATGTCTTTCTTACTGTCTATGTGGGAGTGGAAGAGGAAGCAGGATAGGCTGCACGTCCCGGCTCTTAGCAGCTTGGTTCAATCTCTTTTGGACGAATTGGAATCCTTGGCAGGAGGTATGAACTGATCAGTAAGGCAGGCACCAGTGTCCACACACCCTGTTCCTGGTGGGGACTGGGAGCCACTCTTGCCATGTCTGTGCCTTCTCCATGGTGCCAGTTTCCATAGGCTGGCTCCTCGTGCTGATTTGAGGAGTATCAACCCCTCCCTATGTGGATGGAGCCTGGTGGTGGCATCATCATCCCACCCTTGCTGATCTCGGTGTAGCCAACCTTCTCTTTGTTTGGTTTCTTTAATTAATTAATTAATTTTGGAGACAGAGTCTCACTCCTTCACCCAGGCTGGAGTGAAGTGGTGTGGTCTACGCTCACTGCAACCTCTGTCTCCTGGGTTCAAGCGATTCTCCTGCTCTCAGCCTCCCGAGTCGCTAGGATTACATGCACCTGCCACCATGCCTGGCTATCCTTGTGTCTTTTCTTAACTTGTCCTTGACCTGGGTTCCAGTGTTGGTTTCCTGTTGCTGCTGTAGAAAATTATCAGAAGCATGGCAGCAGGAGAGAGCACACTGACCCCCTCCGATTCTGGAGACAGAAAGCGGACCCTGTTTTTCGAGGGCTAAAATCAAGGCATCTGCAGGGCTGTGTTCCCTCTGGAGACTCAGGAGAATCAGTTACTTGACTTTCCCAGCCTCTATAGGCCACCTGCATTCATGGCTTATGGCCTTCATCCACCTTCAAAGCTGATGGAGTCTCCCACTACGCTGCTCTAATCCCCACTCTCCTCTTCCTCCTCCTTTCATGTGGACACTTGTGATTATACTGAGCCCACCGGGACAGTCCAGGCTGTCTCCCCATCTCAAGGTCAACTCATCAACAACCTGAGCTCCATCTTCCCCTTCAGTCCCTTCCCCTATAACATAAATAGTCACAGACTCCAGGGATTAGAATGCAGTCATCACTGGGGACACTTATTCTTCCCACCACAGCACCCATTTCCCTGTATTCAATCCCCCTTTACCCCAAATACAGTTAGGGCCTGCGTGATGGGACCCTCAAGGACATGCCTACCAGAAGCTCTGGGATTCAGGAGGTGGGACAAGGAGAATCCCAGACAGGAGCCCTCTGACCTGTGACCACGATCACCAGGGGGTTGCTGGGTGCCGACCACCCACTGGGGGAGTGTGTGTGTGAACCCCGGCATGTATAGGTCCCTGCATGTGACGTGGTCACAGGGCCCATGAAAAGGCTTTTCCAGAATATTCTGTTGTACAGCTCAGGGACAGGCACCCCATCATCCTTGTACAGACTGAAGTTGTTAAACCCAAGATTAGAGTGACACTGAAGAGTCACATGTTCTGGAGGCACCACAAGGCTGGGCCAGGTAGAAAGCAAGGGCTTGTCCTGACCACCTTGGGGTGAAGGAGGCGCCGCCTTAGAGAGGAGGATGTGGAGCTGTGCCTCCCTCCCTGTGCTCAGAAGATTCTCCCCACTTTCCACATTTCTATGGCTGCTATCACACCTTGGTGCCTAGGGCTAAAGGAAGGACCCATCCCACAAAGACAAGGTGTCTCCGTACAACAAAAGTGTCAGCTGAGAACTTTGAGCAAGTGCTGAGTAAGAGACTCCTACTAGATTTTAATACTGTAAGATTACTGACATAAAACAACACAGGGTAGACATGAAGTGGAGGGCATGTCCTTTGAGAATGGAATATCAGCAGTTGCCTGAATGAAAATAAAAAACTTAGCCCCCATCAGAGGATTTGGAATGTCAGGGCCATGGCTGTGGTTTCCCACCTCTTCTGGTAGAATGACAGCAGCCACACTGCAGCCCCTACCGTCATGGAAACGCTGAAGTGTGTGAGTAACACCTTTGTCCTCAGAGGATCTGCTGTTCCTACCACTTCCCCACCACACAACCCAGCTTTGAACACCCTAGTCCAACCCTGGTCCCCACACAACTTGACTCTGCCAAGGGGTTGAGAGGCCAGGGAGGCAAGGTCGGAACTGTGGGCCGAGCACCCCAGGGTCCCCTCTTCCTAGTTTATGAGAGACTCCCTGACAGGACTTCCCTCCCGTTTCAGGAAAATCCTCTTATGTGGGGAGATGACACCCTAAGGTTTGGAGAAGGACTTACCCTCCTGTGGCCAGGCCCCCTGCAGCAAGAAGAACCCTGGAAAGAAAGATCATGATGGAAGATCCATTTGCAGGCAAACAAGGCCTTCCTTGCTGCCCCCACTGGGCTGTGAGTCTTGATAGCCAGCCCCTTCCTGGGCCGAAGGGAAACTCACCATCAGAGCCTACCTGCACCCAAGAACAGTGCTCTCGGCTGTGCAGAGACCCAGCCTCCAGGCCCATATCCCCACCCCAAGCCCATATCTCCACTCCAGGCCCATATCTCCACTCCAGGCCGATATTTCCACCCTAGACCCATATAGCCAATCCGGGCCCACATCTCCAATCCAGGCTCAGATCTCCACCCTCGGCCCATATCTCCAATCCAGGCCCATATCTCCACTCCAGGCCCATATCTCCACTCCAGTCCCATATCTCCTCTCCAGTCCCATATCTCCACTCCAGGCCCATATCTCCACCCCAGGCCCAGATCTCCACCTCCAGGCCCATAACTACACTCCAGGATCATATCTCCACTCCAAGCCCATATCTCCACATCAGGCCCATATCTCCACTCCAGTCCCATATCTCCACACCCAGGCCCATATCTCCATTCCAGGCCCATATCCCCATCCTAGGCCCATATCTCCACCGTAGGCCCAGATCTCCACTCCAGGCCCATATCTCCACTCCAGGGCCATATCTCCACTCCAGGCCCATATCTACACACCAGGCCCATATCTCCACCCCATGCCCATGTCTCCACTCCAGATCCATATCTCCACCCCACGCCCATATCTCCACTCCAGGCCCATATCTCCAACCCACGCCCATATCTCCACCTCCAGGCACATATCTCCACCCCACGCCCGTATCTCCACTCCAGTCCCATATCTCCACTCCCGGCCCATGTCTCCACCCCATGCCTATATCTCCACTCCAGTCCCATATCTCCACTCCAGGCCCATATCTCCACTCCAGACCCATATCTCCACTCGGCCCATGTCTACACTCCAGGCCCATATCACCACCTCCAGGCCCATATCTCCACTCCAGGCCCATATCTCCACCTCCAGGCCCGTATCTCCACTCCAGACCCATATGTCCACTCCAGGCCCATATCTCCACTCCAGGCCCATATCTCCACTCCAGGGCCATATCTCCACTCCAGGCTCATATCTCCACTCCAGGCCCATATCTCCACTCCAGGGCCATATCTCCACTCCAGGCTCATATCTCCACTCCAGGCCCATATCTCCACTCCAGGGCCATATCTCCACTCCAGGCCCAGATCTCCACCTCCAGGCCCGTATCTCCACTCTAGTCCCATATCTCCACTCCAGGCCCATATCTCCACCTCCAGGCCCATAACTTCACTCCAGGCCCATAACTCCACTCCAGGCCCATATCTCCACCTCCAGGCCCATATCTCCACTCCAGGGCCATATCTCCACTCCAGGCTCATATCTCCACTCCAGGCCCATATCTCCACTCCAGGGCCATATCTCCACTCCAGGCCCAGATCTCCACCTCCAGGCCCCTATCTCCACTCTAGTCCCATATCTCCACTCCAGGCCCATATCTCCACCTCCAGGCCCATAACTTCACTCCAGGCCCATAACTCCACTCCAGGCCCATATCTCCACCTCCAGGCCCATATCTCCACTGCAGACCCATATCTCCACTCCAGGCCCATATCTCCACTCCAGGCCCAGATCTCCACTCCAGGCCCAGATCTCCACTCCAGGCCCAGATCTCCACCTCCAGGCCCCTATCTCCACTCTAGTCCCATATCTCCACTCCAGGCCCATATCTCCACCTCCAGGCCCATAACTTCACTCCAGGCCCATAACTCCACTGCAGACCCATATCTCCACTCCAGGCCCATATCTCCACTCCAGGACCATATCTCCACTCCAGGCTCATATCTCCACTCCAGGCCCGTATCTCCACCTCCAGGCCCATAACTTCACTCCAGGCCCATAACTCCACTCCAGGCCCATATCTCCACTCCAGTCCCATATCTCCACTCCAGTCCCATATCTCCACCCTAGGCTCCTACCTCCCCTCCAGGTTCCTATCTCTCCTCCAGGTTCCTCTCTCCACTCCAGGTTCCTATCCCCACTCCAGGCCCATATCTCCACTCCAGGCCCAGATCTTCACTCCAGGCCCAGATCTCCACTCCAGGCGCAGATCTCCACTTCTAGGCTCATCACTCCATCTCTAGGCCCAGATCTCCACTCCAGGCCCATAACTCCACCTCCAGGCCCATATCTCCACCTCTGGGCCCAGATCTCCATCCCCACGCTCCCTCCCTCTATTCCCTTCCAGGACTCACCAACACACGCCATGATGATGACCATGAGCGACATGGTGCTGCCGGTGCAGACAGGCGGCCGCGCCCCAGCTCAGCTCAGCAGCGCACAGGATGTTATTTGGCGCCCTGCCCATGCAGTTTACATGTTGACCACATCATGGGAGGGTGACGTACGCAGGCTTTTTCTACCTTGCATGAGGCCCAGTGGGTGCTCGCTCAAGAGCAGAACATGGCTTCCTGGAAATTGCTCTCACTAGAATTGACACCTCGCGTCCTTCACTATGACCAACTCAAAACATGTCTTAGATCCAACCTCCCAAACATGAGATGCCTAAAATCTGTGCTAACATGAAAGACTTTTCATGAATTTTTATTGTTTTTATCTGAGATTCGAACTCTTCTTCCTGTGTAATATGCAAAATATCTAATAGGTATTATTAGTGTTTTCAGAGTCATTGTGACTAATAAACCATTAGAATTGTTCATGCTTGTATTTCTAGTATTACAGCAGAACCAGTTCAAATGATTTAAATTCCCAGGGAAGGATTATGCAATTATTTACAATCTTAGAATTGTACTTTATCAGCAAAAACCACACATGTAAATTCTGGATTTTTGTAGTTTTATCTATAATTTGTCTCATGACTCAAGATTCCAGAGTCCCAACTCTGGAGTTTGCTCTCTCTCTGTCTCTCTGCCTCCCTCATTTTAAATTTTACAGAAATATCCAGTAACATAATGCTATAGAAAATCAAGTTTCCCCCAGCAGGTCGGGAAGCCGAGGTGGGCGGATCAACTGAGATGAGGAGATTGAGAGCAGCCTGGCCAACACAGTGAAACCGCGTCTCTGCTAAAAATTCAAAAATTAGCCATGCCTGGTGGCAGGCACCTGAAACGCCAGCTACTCAAGAGACTGAGGCACGAGAATCGCCTGAACCTGGGAGGCGGAAGTTGCAGTGAGCTGAGATTGCTCCACTACAGTCCCGCCTGGGCGACAGAGCAAGACTCCGCCTCAAGAAAAAAAAATAGCAAGTAGCCTATAATAACAAATTAGAGGGCTCTGGCTACTAAATTTAAAGGGTTT
>NW_003571056.2:720632-761614 GCF_000001405.40 Homo sapiens | reverse complement strand
CAAACATGAACAAAAGATTGTCAGAAAGTCTTACTTTCTAAGGCGAATTGTTTGAAATTTACAAAGGACACATCTCAATGTTAACAATTCATGGAGTTTGAAATTAAACAATGTAGAAATATACCAAGCAATCACTGTTAGAAATGTGGTATAACTATATTAAAATTAGACAAAATTAGTCTTTGGGAAAAATCAGCGGAAAACATTAAGCATAAAATGTAGGAAAAAAGCAGGTAAATTTATAGCATTTTAAATTTACCAGGAATATATAATCAGTTTACACTTAACCACTCCCAGTAATATTCCTGCAAATATACATGGAGGAAGAGTCGCGGAAATAAATGGACAGGTAGGCAAATCCACGGCCACAGTGGGGTGTTTAACACTCCTCTTTTCTCAGTTGTTGATAGAAGTGGTTCAGGCAATTAGAGAGGATTTAGAAAGATAATTGCTGGACCTGACCCAAGGTATAAGTCCACTCCCAACCACAGGACTCACTTTCCTTACAAGCACAAGGGCATTTAGAAATCTCTCTGGATTCTGACCAGCCCTCACCATATGGCAGGTCCATGGACTTCTTGGAACACACCAAGCTCATTCTCACATTAGGGTCATCCCCAATGTCCTAAGTCCATGAAAGTTCCTTTCAACACACTCCCCAGGGCTCACTCCCTCTTGTCTCTAAGATCGGAGTTTAAATGTGATCTCTCTGATGAGGTCTCAGTGAGACGTTCCCTCCTGTACACTCCAAATGACAACGTTCCACGTTCATTCATTTCATTCTGTGCATGGCACTTTCACCAAGTGCTAAGGATTCACTCACTAATTCATACATTCATTCATTCATTCATTCACTCATTCCATCATTCACTCATTCATTCATTCTCTCATTCATTCATTCATGTTCTGCCTCTCTCTCCCACCCCACAGCAATGTGAGCATCATGAACCCAGGAGCTTGGCCGTGCTGTCTACTCCTGGCCGTGAAACAGAGAGAACTGATGGTAGGTGTGAAATAAATATTAGATGAATGAGTTAGTGAAGGGGTCATTTACTGGGTGAGCTCAGTTCTCTCTACTCTAATGCCCTCCCTCGGCTGACTTCCCTGAGTTGCCCCCTCGGCTGAGTGAAGTCCCTTCACTGGCAAATGGAACCTCAACCAGTAGCACCTAGGTGGTCTCATACTTTGTTCTTTCCCTCTCCTCTTGCTCCCTAAGGATTATCAATCTCCATGACAGGGCTGGAGAGCAGACAAGCCACACATTCTTTCTGGGGAGAGAGTAACATGGAGTACAAGGCATTCCACATTTAGGAAGAGAACTCAGTTATGGAAGGTCAGAAATGAAAAGTTCCTACAGACCAACACCCAGGTTGGTGGCCACAGCCCTAAATGCTGATGGAGAATCACTGCAAGTCTGTAGGGAAGATGTCTGGCTTGAGGCCACTGAGCGAAGTGGCAGATCCTTCTCAGCCTTCAGTGCTGAGCCTCTGTCCCCTCAGGGATCCACTGACCAATGAGAAGAGCCTCTTCTCATCTCCTGGGATGGAGCTTGGGGCCCCTGGCGAAGGAATGGGCCTGTTTCCACCTGTCATGTTGTCATCTAGCTTGGAAATCCTGCGAGTCCCAGGGAGGCCCTCCCCGAGTCCCCAGAGAAGACTCCCCCACTGAGTCTCCAAGGTGTGGAGAGAGCAAAAAACATCTAGGGTGGAAAATGCCTCCCATCAAGAGACATTGGGGCTCCCCCAACGATGGTTGCATCTGTGCCCCCCATGTGGAAATCACTCTTTGGTGAGAGGTGGGGGCTTCTGGAAATGGGCAATGGCGGGCGGCCAATGCTACCTCTAGTCTTTCCAATCTGAGCCCGGCCTTTCATGCTCCTGAGTCAGCATTGATGCTGTTTACATGTGTCCCAGGTGGGCTTCTGTACAAAGACTGGGAAGTGGTTTATGTGGCCTGTGCTCTATCTGCAAGCTTCAGGTAGGGTTGCAGTTACCACCCCAAACCCTAATGTGATCTGTCTGCCTCGCTCTGTCTGTCTGTCTATGCCTCTTTCTGTATGTTTGCTTTGTGTCTCTTCTGTCCAGCATCTCTGGCTGACACCCCCATGGCCACCCCCTCCATCTGAGGCTCCCCTGAATGTGGCCATTGTAGTCCATCTGAGTCCCACTATTTGGGGAACAGACTGGTTTCCTCACCTGTGACAGAAACAAGCAGTGGGTCACTAAGGTCTGACCACTCGTAGGGAGAGTCACGGAAAGAGCCGAAGCATCTGTAGGTCCCTCCGTGGGTGGCAGGGCCCAGAGGAAAGTTGGCCTGGAAGGTTCCATTGACCTTGGGCACTGCAGGGAACCTAAGTTCATGAGCCTCCCCCTCCCTTGATAGATGGTAGATGTCATAGGAGCTCCGGGAGCTGCAGGACAAGGTCACGCTCTCTCCTGCCTTAACCATGGGGCGCGGCTGGGCTGAGAGAGAAGGTTTCCCACATAGACCTGGAAGGAGAAGAGGCAGTTTCCTCAGGGAGGTTCTTCCTTGTCACAACTCCCCTCCCACCTGAGCTGAGAACTCACTCCCCTGCTCTATGGCCTAATGCTCTCTCTCTCTGTCTCACCCTCCACACCATCTCTCTTTATGTCTATTTCCTCTTTCCACCTTCTCTGTCTCTCTAGGTCTCTGACCTCACTTTCTCACCTCTAGATATGTTTTCCCTTTTTGGATTGTTTTATTCTCTCTGACTCTCCTTGGACTAGTTGACTTGATGTTACTTTTTTTAAATTCTGAGTTTCTCACTTTGTGTCCTGTTCATAACTTTCTGCATATTTCTATCTATTATCTATCGATATATCTATTTATCTATCTGGTGCCTATCTACAAATTCTCTACCTGTCATCTATATCTATATATAATCTATTTATCTATCAATTGTCTATCCAAAAATCATCTATTATCTATATCTATGTATCATCTCTCTCTCTCTATGATTTCTCTTTGTCTGCCTCTCTATCTCTATGTATTATCTATCTATCTTCATCTTCATCATCTCTATGTATCATCGATTAATCAATGAATGAATCGATCATCATCTATGTATCTATAACCTATTATCTATCATCTACCTATTTATCATCTATCTATATCTATCCATCTATCATCTGTCTTGCTCTGCCTCTCGGTCTCTCTAGTTCTCTTTGGAATCTCTGCAATTCATCCCCACATCTCCATCTTTCTATGTCCTTGTGCCTCTCCCTCAGGACTCTAATTTTAGTGCTTTTCTCTGTTCCCTTCCATTGTTCTCTCCACTTCTCTGCCCTCTTTTCTCCCTCTTTATGTGTCTGTGAGTCTCTCAATCTCCTTCCTCTGGCTCATTCTCTGTGTGTTTATGTCTTTGCTTTTTGGTGTCCCTGATTTCTCTCTGTGTCTCTCAGTGATCCTCTCATATGTGGGGTTATTTGGAATGTGAGCCTCAGAATCCAGTCTGGGGACCGCAAGTTCACACAGTATACAGGGGTTGATGTTCTGGGGCCATGATATCCTGGGACGATTACTCTCCATTGCATGGAAGGCAGAGGTGTCAGAATAAACACGGCATCTGTAGGTGCCAGAAGGCCTGAGGCCACAGGGCCCAACTCAGGCCAGAAATATGGGTGTCCTTGGGTTCTTCTGGTAGAGAACACTTTGTGGAAGTAAAACAGAAATGAAACTTCTAACCTGTGCCAGGTCTCTGAGCAAAGTCAGCATGGAAGGACACCTCTCTCTGGCACATGTCTGTCTGTGTCTCCTTTAACTCTTTCTGTCTTTTCTAACTCCCTGTATGGCCCCTGTGTCTGTCCTCTGTTATGACACCTGGTCTGTACTTGTGTCTCCTGTTTCTCTGTCTCTGTTGGTACAGACCTCACCAAATTAGTCTCTCTCCATAAGAATACCAAGCTCATCTTCCTTATAACCACCTGGGCCTCCAAGTCGTGGATCATTCACTCTGTGTCCCAGTGACAATGAGAATAATGTCCAGACACTCTCACCTGTAATCACGATGTCCAGAGGGTCACTGGGAGCTGACAACTGATAGGGGGAATGAGGAACAGAACCGTAGCATCTGTAGGTCCCTGCAAGGTCTTGCGTCATGCGACCGATGGAGAAGTTGGCCTTGGAGACCCCATCATGGAGCTCTCCAGTGAGGCGCAAAGTGTCATTAAACTTCCCCTCTCTGTGCAGAAGGAAGTGCTCAAACATGACATCTGACCAACATTGCAGGATGACTGTCTCTTCTGATTTCACCAGGGGACCTGGGTGGGCCAGGAGGGAAGGTTTTCTGTGGACTCCTAGGAAGAGAGGTTGTGACTTTAGAAGGCATCTCTCTTTATCATCCCATCCATGGCACCTAGAATGAGTGAGGCTTCCCCTCGCTGGTGTCTTATCTCTCTCCTTCCTCTCTGTGTCTTCATGTTCTTTTCTGTGCCCATAACTCCTGGTACAGGTCCTTCCATCTGTCTCCCTCCCTCTTCTCTGTCCCTCTGTCTCTAGTAGCTCCTGATTCCCTTGCCGCTGGGCTCAGCCTCATCTCTTGGGCTGTTGTATCTATTTCGAACTAATGTCTTTCCTGCTTCTATGTGGGGGTGGAAGAGGAACCAGGATAGGCTGCACGTCCAGGCTCTTAGCAGACTGGTTCAATCTCTTTTGGACGAATTGGAATCCTTGGCAGAAGGTATGAACTGATCAGTAAGGCAGGCACCAGTGTCCACACACCCTGTTCCTGGTGGGGACTGGGAGCCACTCTTGCCATGCCTGTGCCTTCTCCATGGTGCCAGCTTCCATAGGCTGGCTTCTGGTGCTGGTTTGAGGAGTATCAACCCCTCCCTATGTGGATGGAGCCTGGTGGTGGCATCATCATCCCACCCTTGCTGATCTCGGTGTAGCCAACCTTCTCTTTGTTTGGTTTCTTTAATTAATTAATTAATTTTGGAGTCAGAGTCTCACTCCTTCACCCAGGCTGGAGTGAAGTGGTGTGGTCTAGGCTCACTGCAACCTCTGTCTCCTGGGTTCAAGTGATTCTCCTGCCCTCAGCCTCCTGAGTTGCTAGGATTACATGCACCTGCCACCACGCCCGGCTATCCTTGTGTCCTTTCTTATCTTGTCCTTGACCTGGGTTCCAGTGTTGGTTTCCTGTTGGTGCTGTAGAAAATTATCAGAAGCATGGCAGCAGGAGAGAGCACACTGACCCCTTCCGTTTCTGGAGACAGAAATCGGACCCTGTTTTTTGAGGGCTAAAATCAAGGCATCTGCAGGGCTGCGTTCCCTCTGGAGACCCAGGAGAATCAGTTCCTTGACTTTTCCAGCCTCTATAGGCCACCTGCATTCATGGCTCATGGCCTTCCTCCACCTTCAAAGCTGATGGAGACTTCCATTGCACTGCTCTAATCGCCACTCCCCTCTTCCTTCTCCTCTCATGTGCACCCTTGTGATTACACTGAGCCCAGCAGGACAGTCCAGGCTGTCTCCCCATCTCAAGGTCAACTCAACAACCTGAGCTCCATCTTCCCCTTCAGTGCCTTCCCCTATAACATAAATAGTCACAGACTGCAGGGATTAGAATGCAGTCATCATTGGGGACAATTATTCTTTCCACCACAGCACCCATTTCCCTGTATTCAATCCCCTTTTACCCCAAATACAGTTAGGGTCTGGATGATGGGACGCTGGTGGACACTCCCACCAGAAGCTCTGGGACTCAGGAGGTGGGACAAGGAGAATCCCAGACAGGAGCCCTCTGACCTGTGACCATGATCACCAGGGGGTTGCTGGGTGCTGACCACCCAGTGAGGAAGTGTGGGTGTGAACCCCGACATCTGTAGGTCCCTGCATGTGCTGGGGTCACAGGGCCTATGAAAACGGTGTTTCGGAATACTCTGTTGTAGAGCTCAGGGACAGGCATCCCGTCTTCTTTGGACAGACTGAATTCGTTAAACCCAAGACGAGAGCGACACTGAAGAGCCACATGTTCTCCTTCAGACACCACAGGGCTGGGCCAGGCAGAGAGGAAGGGCTTGTCCTGACCACCTGGGGGAGAAGGAGGCGCCACCTTAGAGAGGAGGATGTGGAGCCGCCCCTCCCTCCACGTGTCAGAAGATTCTCCCATTTCCACTTTCTAAGGCTCCTACCACACCTGGGTGCCCAGGGCTACAGGAAGGACCCACCCCGCATAGACTTGGCGTCTCTCTACAACAAAAGTGTCAGCTGAGAACTTTGAGCAAGTGCTGAGTAAGGGACTCCTACTAGATTTTAATCCTGCAAGATTACTCACATAAAACAACACAAATAGACATGGAGTCGAGGGCATGTTCTTTGTGAATGGAATATCAGCCAATGTGTGAACCACAATACACAACTGAGCCCCCAACAGAGGATTTGGAAGGTCAGGGCCCTGGCTGGGGTTCCCCCACCTCTGAGGTAGAATGACAGCAGCCACACTGCAGCCCCTACCGTCATGGAAACGCTGGAGGGTGTGAGTTACACCTTTGTCCTCAGAGGCCTGCTGTTCCTAGCACTGCTTTGCTCCCTTCCTCTGCCAGTGACACCACATCCCAGCCGCACAGCCCAGCTTGGAGGACCCCAGTCTACCCTCCCGGGTTCCCACAGAACCTGACTCAGCCAAGGGAAAGGAAGGCTGGGGAGGGCAAGGTCGGAACTGTGGGCTGAGCACCCCAGGGTCTCCTCATCCTTGTTTATAAGAAAATCCCCCACCGGGCTTCCCTCCTGTTTCAGGAAAATCCTCTTATGTGGGGAGATGACACCCTAAGGTTTGGAGAAGGACTCACCCTCATGTGTCCAGGCCCCCTGCAGCAAGAAGAACCCTGGAAAGAAAGATCATGATGGACCATCCATCTGCAGGCAAACCAGGACTCCCTTGCTGCCCCCACTGGGCTGTGAGTCTTGGTAGCCAGGCCCTTGCTGGGCTGAAGGGAAACTCACCCTCAGTGCCAGCCTGCACCCAAGAACAGGGCTGTCGGCTGTGTAGAGACCCAGCCTGCAGGCCCATATCCGCACCCCAGGCCCCTATCCCCACCCCAAGCCCATATCTCCACTCCAGGCCCATATCTCCACTCCAGGCCAATATTTCCACCCTAGACCCATATCTCCAATCCAGGCCCATATCTCCACCCCAAGCCCATATCTCCACACCCAGGCCCATATCTCCATCCTAGGCCCATATGTCCACTCCAGGCCCAGATATCCACCTCTAGGCCCATGTCTCCACCTCCAGGCCCATATCTCCACCTCCAGGCCCATGTCTCCACTCCAGGCCCATATCTCCATCCCAGGCCAATATCTTCACTCCAGGCTCATATCTCCCCTCCAGGTTCCTATCTCCACTCCAGGCCCAGATCTCCACTCCAGGCCCATATCTCCACCTCCAGGCCCATATCTCCACTCCAGACCCAGATCTCCACTTCTAGGCCCATCACTCCATCTCCAGGCCCATATATCCACTCCAGGCCCAGATCTCCACTCCAGGCCCATAACTCCACCTCCAGGCCTATATCTCCACCTCTGGGCCCAGATCTCCATCCCCGCGCTCCCTCCCTCTATTCCTTTCCAGGACTCACCAACACACGCCATGCTGACGACCATGAGCGACATGGTGCTGCCGGTGCAGACAGGCAGCCGCGCCCCAGCTCAGCTCAGCAGCGCACAGGATGTTATTTGGCGCCCTGCCCATGCAGCTTACATGTTGACTACATCATGGGAGGGTGACGTACGCAGGCTCTTTCTACCTTGCATGAGGCCCAGTGGATGCTTGCTCAAGAGCGGAACACGGCTTCCTGGAAATTGTTCTCACTAGAATTGGCACCTCACGTCCTTCACTATGACCAACTCACAACACGTCTCAGATCCAACCTCCCGAACACAAGATGCCTAAAATCTGTGCTAACGTGAAAGACTTTTCATGTATTTTTATCCGAACACGAGATGCCTAAAATCTGTGCTAACATGAAAGACTTTTCATGTATTTTTTTTGTTTTTATCTGAGATTCAAACTCTTCTTCCTGTGTAATATGCAAAGTATCTAATAGGTATTATTAATGTTTTCGGAGTCATTGTGACTAATAAACCATTAGAATTTTTCATGCTTGTATTTCTAGTATTACAGCAGAACCAGCTAAAATGATTTAAATTCCCAGGGAAGGATTATGCAATTATTTACAATCTTAGAATTGTACTTTATCAGCAAAAACCACACCTGTAAATTCTGGAGTTTTGTAGTTTAATCTAAAATTTGTCTCATGACCCAAGATTCCAGAGTCCCAACTCTGGAGTTTGCTCTCTGTCTGTCTCTCTCCCTCCCTCGTTTTAAATTTTACAGAAATATCCAGTAACATAATGCTATAGAAAATCAAGTTTTCCCCAGCACGTTGGGAAGCCGAGGTGGGCGGATCAACTGAGATAAGGAGTTTGAGAGCAGCTTGGCCAATATAGTGAAACCGTGTCTCTGTTAAAAATCCAAAAATTAGCCGTGCCTGGTGGCAGGCACCTGTAACGCCAGCTGCTCAAGAGGCTGAGGCACGAGAATCGCTTGAACCTGGGAGGCGGAGGTTGCAGTGAGCTGAGATTGTGTCACTGCAGTCCAGCCTGGGCGACAGAGCAAGACTCCGCCTCAAGAAAAAAAAAGCAAACAGCCTATAATAACAAATTAGAGGGCTCTGGCTACTAAATTTAAAGGGTTCTATAAGGCTACATAAAGTGCAGCATCATCAAGAGTGTGGACACAGAGAGCCCCTTAGCAGAAACAGTGTCTAAAATACATCCATGTACACACAGTCCCTTTAGAGTTGACAAAGGCTGCCGTGTGGTTTAAGGTGGCATAGAATGTCTTCTCAATAAATAATATTAAACCAATTGGTTACACCTAGGAAAAAATAAATCTAACTCACACTATAAAAACACTTCTTAGTTTTTATCTAGTTGTACATTTTTTATGATTTATATTTAAATTTGAGAAATAAAAGTCATATACGGTCATCCTTCACTATTCGTGGGTGATTGGTTTTGAGATCTCCACTCAGATACCAAAATCTGTAGATGCTCAAGCCTCTTATATGAAATGGCACAGAGTTTGCAAATAACCTATGCACATCCTCCTGTATACATGAAATCATCTCTAGATTACTTATAATTCCTGATACAGCCTACACACAGCTTCATTTGTGTCCATTCAACATAGTTATGCTTTTTGAAACTCTGTGGATACTTTCTCTCAATATTTTTGATTTATACTTGGTTCAATAAACACCTGTAAACCCCGCAGATATGGAGGAGTGACCGTATATTTATATTATGAAAGATGATGTGTTGATATGTGTCCCCATGGAGATGAGACTAACAAGGCCTATGATTCTACAAATGTTTCATTGTGGAATGACTCTGCCAGCTTTCCAGGTCTGCAGAGAGTAAGAGTATCACTTGTTCATATGATTCGTGATCCTTGGAACCTCCTATGTGCTACATCTTTGGATGGAAATTGGAGTCTCAGAGACAAATGAGGCTCCACCCTGCTTCCAGAAACTCAGAGTCCGGGGATGAGAACTCAGTGGGGAACAGATGGGATTATATGGACATGGTACTGATAACACCGGAAGCCTTAGGCAAGAAAAGAGTCCCATTACCGAAACCATGGGGGCAGACATGTTTATTTGAAGGATGGAAAACTACATTGAAGTTATTTTAAAAAATATATAAGTTTTACTGCTGACAGAAGACTGAAAGCTAGTCTGAGGGGAGGTGGAACAGCATGAGGGAAGGTGGAACAACACGTGTCTAAGTGCTGCGTTAAGAGGGAGCCTCTTGTATGTTTGGAATTGTGAGTTCCTCAGTGTGATTGCAGCCTCAAGTAGACTAGGAAGTAAGCCAGTTAGGTTGGAGAGGTGGGCAGGGGTCAAGTGAAATGGAGAACTGTGGGCTAAGCAAAGGAGTGTGTTTTTTCTCCAGCAGGCAGTGGGGACCTTAGACATTTGTAAGCAAGTGAGAGGCACATTCAGATTTGTGGTGTGAGGAAGAGCGATGCCCTAAGATGCAGACTCATGCCTTCAGATTCCAGCTGCTGGTACATGGGAGCTGGCAACCCGGTTTTGAGACAGGGCTGTTGTCTCCCTAGAAGACGCCCTCAAGGCCTGACTGTGGTGCTCATGGGCAGGAGACAACTTTGGATCTGGACTCAGCATTTGGAAGTTCCGTGTACACGATGATATCTGTTGGGGGTGTCTTGGGCCTCTGAGAAGGGCGAGTGATTTTTCTCTGTGTGAAAACGCAGTGATTCAACTGTGTGTATGTCACCTCCTGAGGGTCTTGTTCATCAGAGTCCTGGAGAGAGGGAAATGCTGAGTGAGGGAGGGTGCTCACATTTTCCAGGACTCTTTGGGAATAACAGTAGCCACGAGCCCGGGCCGAGGAGTACCTACCTCGCTATTCGCTGTTCTGTTCCCTGCAGACTCTTGGTCCATTACCGCAGCATCTGTAGGAGACGGAAGTCAACAAAACAGCTCGGAGGGCACTTCTGGGTCCTCATTTCATAAGCAGATACCAACATACAGGGGGAGACCATAGGTGGCTGAGGTCCCTCAGTTGCCAACAGCAGACTCAGACATTCTATCTCTCTGAGCTCAAGGACCCATCCCATGAATAGCTCTGAGTTCCCATCCCATTGATTCTGTCTCCCACTTTCTGCCTGTCATGGAACCTTCTCCTGGATGTGAGTGGCTGCAGGGGACATGAGGATACAGTTCAGAATCAGGCAACGGTCTGTGAGTTGAAGGCAGGGGCAGGGAGTCTGGTGCCCTCTCTAGAAAGTCCTGCCTCTGTGGCTGCTGCCTTGGGCCAGGGACCATCCTGTTTGTGAGGAACACACACCTGAGTGCTCCCATCCTGCTTCCCCACATGGCCCTGAGCTCTCTGGCCTCTGCTTCGTGAGACTTACTTTTTTTGTTGGAGCACCAGCGATGAAGGAGAAAGAAGAGGAGGATGAAGAGGATGATGACCACTGAGGTCCCAATCAGAATGTGCAGGTGTCGGGGGTTACCTGGAAGAAGATGAGACACCAATAAGAAGCTAATCTTAGCAGTTCCTCTTTATGAATTGTCTCGCATTTCTTGATTGACAGGTAACCACATAAAACATCTCTTTAGGACAAGCACCCAGATGGCAGGAGACCCAGCTTTCTCCTGCTTTTTCAGTTATAGCTCTCATAGTAACCATAGAACGTGCTGAGGATACGACTACTTTAGTTGAGATGTTTGACCCCTTCAAACCTCACATTGAAATTTCACCCCCACTGTGGGAGGTTGGGCCTCTTGAGAGGTGTTTGGGTCATGGAGGTGGATCCATCATGAACACATCAATGCTGTCCCAAGGAGACGGGGTTAGCAAGTTCCCCCTCTATTAGTTCCCGGAGAGCTGGTTGTTAAAAAGAGCTTGGAAGCTCCATCACTCCCCCTCCCCCTTGCTCCCTCTCTTGCCGTGTGATCTCTGTGGTCTCTGCACAGACAGACCCTCCTTCCCTTCTGCCAGAGTGGGAGCAGCCTGAGGCCGTCACGAGAAATAGATGCTGGTGCCATGCTTCCAGTACAGCCTGCAGAACGGTGAGGCAAACCAATCTCTTTTCTTTAGAAGTTACCGAGGCTCAAGTGTTCCTTTAGAGCAACAAAAATGGCCTAAGACAGCAACTTCCTGAGATCAGGAGGAACGTCTCAGAACACCCTGGGCTGTCTTCCTGTTCTTCCTGGAGGACGTCATGCAGTGCTTTAGCTGAGTGCTTCCTGTGGCTCCAGGGTACAAAACCCAGGCTGGGCTGCTTTCTGGCTTCCCGCAGCTACACTGCAAATGGGGTGACTCCATATGTCCCGAGGAGCTTTTCTGAGCCTTGAGGGACTGGCTCACATTGAAATATAGGTTTCTGTTGTCACTCGCTGCTTATCTGTTAGTAATGAACCTGCCTATGTAACGTATTCTCTGTGTGTTCTGTCTCCCTGGAGTGACGGTGAGTGATAGGAATTGGCATAGGCCCAGGTGCAGTCCAGGAGGTGTTTAGAGTCTTCTCTGGGAAGACTGGACTGGGATTGATTCACAGCGAATGTGCTTTAGGGTTTCTACATCCACAGCATTCTTGAATCAAACAACTTGCATTCTCCAAGGAAAGAAAACAAAAGTGAAATCAAGATAAAAAAAGCGAAATAGAATTCTCTTATGTCAAACGGCCAGGAAATAGTGTTGAAGCCCGTGTGAAACCTGCTGCTCTTTGTGATCTCGGGAGACACATATTAGGCTGCTGTTCTACCCGAGAGGCTGGGGGAAGGACCACCCCCTCGGCCATCTATTGCTTCAATACCACCTGTCCTCCTGTGAATTAGTAGGAAAGGGGAGCAGGAGCTAGTGCTGTCGCTGATCTCTGATTCCAAGATCTGGACTCACTCCAAGGAGTGTTAATGTTTACCTCCCCATGGTCTACCTGAATCTCCACAGGTGATTGGAAGTAGGGGTGAGGTGGGGGATTTGGGTGAGTGGGCAAGTTTTTTTTGTGATGACCAGAGCACTTTCTCTATTCCAGGATCTGTGCTGGAGGATTCAGCGGACTTTCACATTTTCTATATGATCTCATGCTCACAGAAAGCCAAATAGGGAAGAGGTTTTAGGCTCATTGCCTAATGGATAAGATAAAGGATCAAAGAAGTAATTATAGAGAAATAGAAAAATCATGATTGGAATTCAGGTCCCTTTGTCATTTGCGTGTGTTATATTATATTTATATTTATGCATTTCTTATTTTTATTTTTTGAGACGGAGTCTCCTTGTGCCACCCAGGCTGGAGTGCAGTGATGCAACCTCCACTCACTGCAACCTCCACCTCCTGGGTTGAAGTCATTCTCCTGCTTCATCCTCCAGAGTAGGAGCTGGGATTACAGGGATGCACCACCATGCTCGGCTAATTTTTGTGTTTTTCCTAGAGACAGGGTTTCACCATGTTGGCCAGGCTGGTCTCGAACTGCTGACTTCATGTGATCCACCCGCCTTGGCCTCCTGCAGTGCTGGGTTACAGGCGTGAGCCACCGTTCACAGACTTGTATATTATGCTATAATAGGTCTCTTCATTTCCACCACCCCTCATATATCTGTCACTCCTTTGCCAGGTATTGATTTATGTGTAGGATGAATAAATCTCAGAAAGAAATTAATTAAGCGAGGATTAAACAAGTAGGAAAATCAAACCCAGCAAGCCTTTCCAGTCAATGATTCTACCTCACAAACCTATCTTATATCCATCTACTTCATTCATTTAGTGTCTAAATCAGCACCACATTTCACCAGTGGGGCGGCAATTGCCTTTTCCACGGTCTCCTAGATTCCAGTTATGCAACTGAGCCTCCCTTATTTTCATGTCAGTCATATTAATCATGTAGGGATTCCTGGCTACCCCGAGGTGAATCCAATGGCTGTGAGTGTCAAACACACACTCCTTGTTCCTCCTTAGTTTCCTGTGTACCCAGTGTGCTCTCCGTCTCTCCACAGTCATCTTGTCATTCTCCCCACATCATTCCCAGCATTTGAGGAAGAGCCTCTTCCTTCCACATCAGATTGTTTTCACCTTTGTGCCTTCACGGCTGACAGCTGTGTGTGCAAAATCCTTCCGCCAATCTTTCAGGGGTTCAATCCGTGTTTTTCATTAATGTCACAAATATCTGAATAGTGAGACCTTCTTTGTCACCTGAAATCATACACTCAGCATTATCTATTATTGATTTTGAATTCTGGCTGGGCACAGTGGCTCACGCCTGTAGTCCCATTACTTTGGCATGCTGAGACGGTCGGATCACTTGAGGTTGGGAGTTTCAGACAAGCTTGGCCAACGTGGTGAAACATCCTCTCTACAAAAAATATACAAAAAGAATTAGCCGGGCACGGTGGCAGTTGCCTGTAATCCCAGCTACTCGAGAGGCGGAGGCAGGAGAATCACTTGAATCCAGGAGAAGCAGGTTGCAGTGAGCCAAGATCGTGACACTGCACTGTAGCCTGGAAGACAGAGGGCAACTCTGTCTCAATAAACAAAAGAACAAACAAAAAATAGATTTCATGCACAGATGCTTCCCAATGGATCATTCATTTATAGATCCACTTGTGCATTCATTTTCTGCCCTCCCATTTAACCATCTGCAATATCAGTGTCCCAAGGGCAGAGGCCAAATGCATCTTGTTCACTGTTTGTGGAAGGCAGGAGAATGCTGTCCCACCCCAAAATGTCCCTGTCCTAGCCTCCATACCTTGTGAATATGTTATTTTACATGGAAAGGAGGAATGAAGATTGTAGATGGAATTACGGTTGCTAATCAGCTGAACTTAAAACAAGGGTATCCTGGATGATTTCCAGGAGATTATGAGGGATTTTCATCTTGGTGAACCCAATAGAATCCCCAAGTTTTCAAAAGATAAGGAAGAAGGGAGAGCAGCATTCAGAGAAAGAGGTGTGGTAAGGAAGAAGGCACTGAGTGATGCCATGTGAGATGTGACCAGTCTTTGTGGGTTTTGAGGAAGGAGGAAGGGGACCAGGAGCCAAGGAACTGGGAGCCTTTAGAAGCTGGGACAAGTGAGAAGCAGATTCTTGCCTGGAATCCTCAGAGGGAAGGCAGCCTTGCTGTCACCTTGATTTTAGCCCAGTAAGATGCACTTCCTACTTTGAGCTACAGCACTGTAAGATAATTAAAAAACCGTTTTGTTTTCACCCACGAATCTTGTGGAAATTTGTTATGGCAACAATAGGAAAAGGTTCCGCACTGCACAGCCTGAGCATGGGGCCGTGGCTGAATGAGTCAGTGAGTCGAAGTGTGCGTGCATGAGCTCCGTTCTCTGTTACGGCAAGGCTGTTGCTCTGCTGAGTCAGCCAGGGTTGCTTCATGACCAACAGTAATTCATTCCTTGGCAAGTGGAACTTCTCTAAAACACCTCGCCCTCATCAGATGTTCCCTTCCCTTCCCTCTCTCAAGCCCCCAGGAATTTATCCTCCAGTTAGGAATGCAGGCAGAACAAACATTGCATTTTTCCTGAGAAGGATGTCAGATTGGCAATCATTCTTCTAGCTTGTAGGAGGTCTCAGCTCCATAAAATGAGAGATTAAGAGATTTCACTGAGCCCTAGGTTGGGCCCAGATCCCTTTCGCTGTTGGAGTATCTGGAGTTCGGAGATGGTAGAAGACAGGCGTACAATGTCAGAGCTGCGAGATGCTGAGTCAATGCCTGCATCGAAGGTTTCTACCTCCCCAGGTTTCCAAAAGCGGATATAAGAGGGTTCTGTACTCACCGGTTTTAGAGCTTGGTTCAGTGGGTGAAGGCCAACTATTTGAAGGGTTTCCTAGAACATGAGACAGGAGAGAGGTGAGGAAATGAGGGTGTCTGTCCTCTACTCAATGGAAATCTTTGAGGTTGGTTCATGGCCAACACTCTGTTATCTAATATTGGGCCCTGGGAGTCCTGGGATCCTTTTTTCCATAATTTTTGTATGTGACGCCCATTGTCTTGAGACTTCAAGGTATAAAGAGAAAACAGGAGCATCACACTACCTGATCTCAAAATATGTTACAGAGCTGTAGTAAGCAAGACAGCATGATGTTGGCATGAAGAAAGGCACATAGAACAATGGAGCAGAATGAACAACACAAATATAATCCATGCATTTACATCCAATGTTTTTTTCTTTTTTCTTTTGAGATGGAGTCTCGCTCTGTCACCCAGGCTGGAGTGCAGAGGTGCAATCTCGGTTCACTGCCACCACAGCCTCCTGGGTTCAATCAATTCTCTGGCCTCAAACTCCTGAGTAGTGGTATTATAGGTGCTGACCACCATGCTCAGCTAATTTATATATTTTTAGTGGAGACAATGTTTCATCACGTCGGCCAGACTAATCTTGAACTCCTGGCCTCAGGTGATCCACCCGCCTTGGGCTCCCAAAGTGCTGAAATTGCAGGTGTCAGTCACCATGCCCAGCCCATCCAATGGACTTTGACAAAGGTGCCAAGAACTCACAATCAGGAAAGGACAGTCTTTTCAATAAACAGTGCAGGGAAACCTGGACATCTACATGCAGAGGAATGAAACTGCACCTCTACCTGTCACCATACACAAAAATCAAATGAAAATGGATTAAAGATGTGAGTCTAAGGCCTGAACCTATGAAACACGTAGAAGAAAATATTGGGGAAATGCTCCAGGACATTTGTCTGAAGGAAGACATTTTGTTTTAAACCTTCAAAACACAAGTAATCGAAGCAAAAATAGACCATTGGGATTACCTCAAGCTAAGCAACTTCTGCACCGCTAAAAATAAACCAACAAAGTGAAGAGACAACCCACAGATTGGGAGCAAATATGTGCAAACTATGCATCTGAGATGGGATTAATAACTAGAAATATAAGAAGCTCAAACAACTCAATAAAACAAATGATTTAATTGAAACAGGAGCAAAAGACATGAAATTTCCCCACATACGAAAAACTGCTCAGTATCACTCATCATCAGAGAAACGCAAATTAAAATCAAAGTGAGTTTTCATCTCACCCCATTAAAATGGCTTTTAGGCCGGGCGTGGTGGCTCACGTCTGTCATCCTAGATCTTTGAGAGCCTGAGGTGGGTGAATCTCATAAGGTCGGGAGTTTGAGACCAGTCTGACCCACATGGAGAAACACTGTCTCTACTAAAAATACAAAAATTAGTCGGGCGTGGTGGCGTGTGCCTGTAATTCCAGCTACTCGGGAGGCTGAGGCAGGAGAATCGCTTGAACCTGGGAGGTGGAGGTTGTGGTGAGCCGAGATCGCACCACTGCACTCCAGCCTGGGTGACAAGAGCGAAACTCCATCTCAAAATAAAATGAAATAAAGTAAAATGGCTTTTAGCTGCAAGACAGGCAAAGGAAATCCTGCCAAAGTGGTAGAGAAAGGAGAACCCTAATACCCTGTTGGTAGGAGTGTAAATTAGTACAGCCTTTACGGAGAAAAGTGTGGAAGTCCTTTAAAGAACTAAAAAGAGGTTGGGTGAGGTGGATCATGCCTGTAATCCCGGCACTTTGGGAGACCGAGGCGGACACCTCAGTTGAGGTCATGAGTTTGAGAGCAGCCCAGCCAACATGGGGAAACCCCATCTATACTAAAAAAACCAAAAAGTAGCCAGGCATGGTGGCGTGCACCTGTAATCCCAGCTACTAGGGAGGCTGAGGTAGGAAAATCATTTGAACCCAGGAGGCAGAGGTTGCAATGAGCCAAGATGACATCACTTGTACTCCAGCCTGGGCACAGAGGGAAACTGTCTCAAAAACAAAAACAAAACAACAAACGAATAACTAAAAAGAGAACTTTCATAGTATCCAGCAATTTCACTACTGGGTTTATATCCAAAGGAAAGTAAATCAATATATCGAAGTGATATCTGCACTCGTATGATTGGTGCAGCACTGTTCACAGTAGCCAAGATGTGGAGTCAACCTACCTGCCCATCAGTGGATGAATGGATAGAGAGAATGTAGTACATACGCACAGTGGAGACTACTCATCCATAGAAAGAATAACATCCTGATATTTGCAGCCACATGGATGGAACTGGAAGTCATTACAAAGATTCCCATTTCTCACCCATATACAGAGCTAAAAGGTGGATCTCATGAAGGTAGAGAGTAGAATGGTGGCTTCCAGAGGCCAGGAAGAAAAGGGTGGAGGGTAAAAAAAAAAAAAAAAATATATATATATATATATATATATATATATATATATATATATACACATATATATATGTATATATATGTGTGTGTATATATATATACATACATATATATATATATATATATTTATAAATGTATTTATGACCACTAGACTTTACACTTAAAAATGGTAAATGTGGCTGGGAGTGGTGGCTCATGCCTGTAATCCCAGCACTTTGGGAGGCAGATGCGGGTGGATCACGTGGTCAGGAGTTGGAGACCAGCTCGACCAACATGGTGAAACCACCTCTCTACTAAAAATACAAAAAGTAGCCTGGCGTGGTGGTGCGCGCCTGTAGCACCAGCTACTCAGGTGGCTGAGGCAGGAGAATCACTTGAACCCAGGAGGCGGAAGTTGCAGTGAGCTGAGATTGTGCCACTGCACTGCAGCATAGGGGACAGAGCTAGACTCTGCCTCAAAAAAAAAAAAAATGTTAAAGGTGGTAAGCTATATAGGTATATTTATCCTCAATAAATATTTCTTCAAACAAAAGTAAAGGGTGTAGGGGTTGCTGGTGATGACATCCCTGTGTGGGTGAGAGGCCAGGATGGGCTTCTGGGAAATGGGTAATGTTGAGGGGCTGAGGGAACCTCTGATCTTCCCAAACTGAGCCCAGTCTCCCTCCTCTGGGTCTCTCCTGACCGCTTTCTCCATCTGCCTGTGTGCCTGGAGCCCTGGCCGCGGGCCTTCATGCAGGCCGTGTAGGAGGGTTTGGAGGTGCCCTGTCTGCCATCCTGTGCCCTGATCCCTCCCTCACACCCAAGCTTCGTCTTCTCTCTGCATCTGTCCATGCTTATCTCCATCATCAGCAGGAAGCTCCTCAGCTAAGGCTCTAGGATCATAGGACATGAGACAGATATGGGGTTTCCTCACCTGTGACAGAAACAAGCAGTGGGTCACTCGAGTTTGACCACTCGTATGGAGAGTCACGGAAAGAGCCGAAGCATCTGTAGGTTCCTCCGTGGGTGGCAGGGCCCAGAGGAAAGTCGGCCTGGAATGTTCCGTTGACCTTGGGCCCTGCAGAGAACCTACATTCATGGGCCTCCCCCTCCCTGGATAGATGGTACATGTCATAGGAGCTCCGGGAGCTGCAGGACAAGGTCACGCTCTCTCCTGCCAGAACCGTGGGGCCCGGCTGGGCTGAGAGAGAAGGTTTCTCATATAGACCTGGAAGGAGAAGAGGCATTTTCCTCAGGGAGGATCTTCCTTGTCACAGCTCCCTTCACCTGAGCTGAGAACTCACTCCCCTGCTCTATGACCTAATGCTCTCTCTCTCTCTCTCTCACCCTCCACCCCATCTCTCTTCATGTCTATTTCCTTCTTCCACCTTCTCTGTCTCTCTAGGTCTCTGACCTCGCTTCCCCACCTCTAGATATGTTTTCCGTTTTTGGATTGTTTTATTCTCTCTGACTCTCCTTGGATTGGTTGACTTGATGTTACTTTTTTAAATTCTAAGTTTCTCACGTTGTGTCCTGTTCATAACTTTCTGCATATTTCTATCTATTATCTGTCGATCTATCTATTTATCTATTCGGTGCCTATCTACAAATTCTCTACCTGTCATCTATATCTATATATCATCTATGTATCTATCAGTTGTCTATCTATCCATCAATCATCTGTTATTTATATGTATGTATCATCTCTCTCTCTATGATTTCTGTCTGCCTCTCTATCTGTACGTATTATCTGTCTTCATCATCATCATCTCTATGTATTATCTATTAATGAATCAATCAATCATCATCTATGTATCTTTAACCTATTATCTATCATCTACCTATTTATCATCTATCTATATCTATCCATCTATCATCTGTATTGCTCTGCCTCTCGGTCTCTCTAGCTCTCTTTGGAATCTCTGCAATTCATCCCCACATCTCCATGTTTCTATGTCCTTGTGCCTCTCTCTCAGGACTCTAATTTTAGTGCTTTTCTCTGCTCCCTGCCATCATTCTCACCACTCCTCTGCCCTCTTTTCTCTCTCTTTATGTGTCTGTGAGTCTCTCAATCTCCTTCCTCTGGCTCATTCTCCGTGTGTTTATGTCTTTGCTTTTTGGTGTTCCTGATTTTTCTCTGTGCCTCTCAGTGATCCTTTCATATGTGGGGTTATTTGGAATGTGAGCCTCAGAATCCAGTCTGGAGACCACAAGTTCACACAGCATACAGGGGTTGGTGTTCTGGGGCCATGATATCCTGGGACGGTTACTCTCCATTACATGGAAGGCAGAGGTGTCAGAATAAACATGGCCTGTAGGTGCCACAAGGCCTGAGGCCACAGGGCCCAACTCAGGTCAGAAATATGGGTGTCCTTGGGTTCTCCTGGTAGAGAACACTTTGTGGAGGTAAAACAGAAATGAAACTTCTAACCTGTGCCAGGTCTGTGAGCAAAGTCAGCATGGAGGGACACCTCTCTCTGGGACATGTCTGTCTGTCTGTCTCTTTTAACTCTTTCTGTCTTTTCTAACTCCCTGTATGGCCCCTGTGTCTGTCCTCCGTTATGACACCTGGTCTGTACTTGTGTCTCCTGTTTCTCTGTCTCTGTTGGTACAAACCTCAGCAAGTCAGTCTCTCTCCATAAGAATACCAAGCTCATCTTCCTTACAACTACCTGGGGGTTCCAAGTCGTGGATCATTCACTCTGCAGCCCAATGACAATGAGAATGTCCGGACACTCTCACCTGTGATGACGATGTCCAGAGGGTCACTGGGAGCTGACAACTGATAGGGGGAGTGAGTAACAGAACCGTAGCATCTGTAGGTCCCTGCAAGGTCTTGCATCATGGGACCGATGGAGAAGTTGGCTTTGGAGACCCCATCATGGTGCTCTCCAATGAGGTGCAAAGTGTCCTTAAACTTCCCTTCTCTGTGCAGAAGGAAGTGCTCAAACCTGACATCTGACCAACATTGCAGGATGACTGTCTCTTCTGATTTCACCAGGCGACCTGGGTGGGCCAGGAGGGAAGGTTTTCTGTGGACTCCTAGGAAGAGAGGTTGTGAGTTTAGAAGGTGTCTCTCTTTATCATCCCATCCATGGCACCTAGAATGAGTGAGGCTTCCCCTTGCTGGTGTCTGTCTCTCTCCTTCCTCTCTGTGTCTTCATGTTCTTTTCTGTGCCCTTAACTCCTGGTGCAGGTCCTTCCATCTGTCTCCCTCCCTCTTCTCTGTCCCTCTGTCTCTAGTAGCCTCTGATTCCCTTCCCACTGGGCTTAGCCTCATCTCTTGGGGTGTTGTATCTATTTCACACTAATGTCTTTCCTGCTGTTTATGTGGGGGTGAAAGAGGAACCAGGATAGGCTGCACATCCAGGCTCTTATCAGCCTGGTTCAATCTCTTTTGGATGAATTGCAATCCTTGGCAGAAGATATGAACTGATGAATAAGGCAGGCACCAGTGTCCACACACCCTGTTCCTGGTGGGGACTGGGAGCCACTCTTGCCATGCCTGTGCCTTCTCCATGGTGCCAGCTTCCATAGGCTGGCTCCTGGTGCTGGTTGGAGGAGTATCAACCCCTCCCTATGTGGATGGAGCCTGGTGGTGGCATCATCATCCCACCCTTGCTGATCTCAGGGTAGCCAACCTTCTCCTTCTTTGGTTTCTTTAATTAATTAATTAATTTTGGAGACAGAGTCTCACTCCTTCACCCAGGCTGGAGTGAAGTGGTGTGGTCTAGGCTCACTGCAACCTCTGTTTCCTGGGTTCAAGTGATTCTCCTGCCCTCAGCCTCCTGAGTCGCTAGGATTACATGCACCTGCCACCATGCCTGGCTTTCCTTGGGTTGTTTCTTAACTTGTCCTTGACCTGGGTTCCAGTGTTGGTTTCCTGTTGCTGCTGTACAAAATTATCAGAAGCATGGAAGCAGGAGAGACCACACTGACACCTTCCAGTACTGGAGACAGAAATTGGACCCTATTTTTCCTGGGCTAAAATCAAGGCATCTGCAGGGCTTTGTTCCCTCTGGAGACTCTGGAGAATCAGTTCCTTGACTTTTCCAGCCTCTATAGGCCACCTGCATTCATGGCTCTTGGCCTTCCTCCACCTTCAAAGCTGGTGAAGACTTCCACTGGACTGCTCTAATCCCCACTCCCCTCTTCCTCCTCCTTTCATGTGCACCCTTGTGATTACACTGAGCCCAGTGGGACAGTCCAGGCTGTCTCCCCATGAGCTCCATCTTCCCCTTCAGTCCCTTCCCCTATAACATACATAGTCACAGACTCCAGGGATTAGAATGTAGTCATCACTGGGGACAATTATTCTTCCCACCACAGCACCCATTTCCCTGTATTCAATCCCCCTTTACCACAAATACAGTCAGGGCCTGCGTGATGGGACCCTCAAGGACATGCCCACCAGAAGCTCTGGGATTCAGGAGGTGGGACAAGGAGAATCCAAGACAGGAGCCCTCTGACCTATGACCACGATCACCAGGGGGTTGCTGGGTGCTGACCACCCACTGGGGGAGTGTGTGTGTGAACCCCGACATCTGTATGTCCCTGTTGTGCGGGGGTCACAGGGCCCATGAAAAGGCTGTTCCAGAATATTCTGTTGTAGAGCTCAGGGACAGGCACCCCACCTTCCTTGTACAGACTGAAGTTGTTAAACCCAAGATAAGAGTGACACCGAAGAATGACATGTCCTAGAGGCACCACAAGGCTGGGCCAGGCAGACAGCAAGGGCTTGTCCTGACCACCTTGGGGAGAAGGAGGCGCCGCCTTAGAGAGGAGGATGTGGAACTGCCCCTCCCTCCCTGTGCTCAGAAGATTCTCCTCGCTTTCCACGTTTCTATGGCTACTATCACACCTTGGTGCCCAGGGCTGAAGGAAGGACCCATCCCGCAAAGACATGGTGTCTCCCTACAACAAAAGCCTCAGCTGAGAACTTTGAGCAAGTGCTGAGTAAAGAGACTCCTACTAGATTTTGATACTGTAAGATTACTCACATAAAACAACACAGGGTAGACATGAGGTGGAGGGCATGTCCTTTGTGAATGGATATCAGCGGATGCCTGAACGAAAATAAACAACTGAGCCCCCATCAGAGGATTTGGAATGTCAGGGCCATGGCTGTGGTTTCCCACCTCTTCTGGTAGAATGACAGCAGCCACACTGCAGCCCCTACCATCATGGAAACGCTGAAGTGTGTGAGTAACACCTTTGTCCTCAGAGGATCTGCTGTTCCTACCACTTCCCAACCACACACCCCAGCTTTGAGCACCCCAGTCTAACCCTGGTCCCCACAGAACTTGACTCTGCCAAGGGGTTGAGAGGCCAGGGAGGCGAGGTCAGAAATGTGGGCTGAGCACCCCAGGGTCCTCTCTTCCTAGTTTATGAGAGACTCCCCGACAGGACTTCCCTCCTGTTTCAGGAAAATCCTCTTATGTGGGGAGATGACACCCGAAGGTTTGGAGAAGGACTCACCCTCATGTGGCCAGGCCCCCTGCAGCAAGAAGAACCCTGGAAAGAAAGATCATGATGGACGATCCATCTGCAGGCGAACCAGCCCTCCCTTGCTGCCCCCACTGGGCTGTGAGTCTTGGCAGCCAGGCCCTTCCTGGGCTGAAGTTAAACTCACCCTCAGTGCCTACCTGCACCCAAGAACAGGGCTGTCGGCTGTGCAGAGACCCAGTTTCCAGGCCCATATCCCCACCCCAAGCCCATATCTCCACTCCAGGCTGATATTTCCACCCTAGGCCCATATCGCCAATCCAGGCTCAGATCTCCACCCTAGGCCCCTATCTCCAATCCAGTCCCATATCTCCGCCCCAGGCCCAGAACTCCACCCTAAGCCCATATCTCCACTCCAGGCCCATATCACCTCTCCAGTCCCATATCTCCACACCCAGGCCCATATCTCCTTCCTAGGCCCATATCTCCACTCCAGGCCCAGATATCCACCTCTAGGCCCATAACTCCACTCCTGGCCCATATCTCCACTCCAGGCCCATATCTCTACTGCAGGCCCGTATCTCCACCTCCAGACCCATATCTCCACTCCAGGCCCATATCTCCACCTCCAGGCCCATATCTCCACCTCCAGGCCCATATCTCCACTTCAGGCCCATATCTCCACTCCAGGCCCATATCTCCACTCCAGGCCCCTATCTCTACTGCAGGCCCATATCTCCATCTCCAGGCCCATATCTCCATCTCCAGGCCCATGTCTCCACTACAAGCCCATATCTCTACTGCAGGCCCATATCTCAACCTCCAGGCCCATATCTCCACTCCAGGCCCAGATCTCCACTTCTAGGCCCATCACTCCATCTCTAGGCCCATAACTCCACTTCCAGGCCTATATCTCCAACTCTGGGCCCCGATCTCCATCCCCGCACTCCCTCCCTCGATTCCCTTCCAGGACTCACCAACACACGCCATGCTGACGACCATGAGCGACATGGTGCTGTCTGTGCAGACAGGCGGCCGCGCCCCAGCTCAGCTCAGCAGCGCACAGGATGTTATTTGGCGCCCTGCCCATGCAGTTTACATGTTGACCACATCATGGGAGGGTGACGTACGCAGGCTCTTTCTACCTTGCATGAGGCCCAGTGGGTGCTCGCTCAAGAGCGGAACATGGCTTCCTGGAAATTGTTCTCACTAGAATTGACACCTTGCGTCCTTCACTACGACCAGACTCAAAAGACGTCTCAGATCCAACCTCTCATACACGAGATGATTGAATTCTGTGCTTACATTAAAGATTTTTGATGTATTTTTGTTTTTATCTGAGATTCAAACTCTTCTTCATATGTAATGTGCAAAATGTCTAACAGGTATTATTAACATTATCAGAGTAATTGTGACAAGAAGCCATTCTAATTTTCCTGCTTGAGTTTCTAGTACTAAACCAGAGGCATCAGAATAGCTTGAACCTGGGAGGCGGAGGTTGCAGTGAGCTGAGCTCAAGCCACTGAACTCCAGCTTGGGTGACAGAGGAAGAGTCTGTCTCAAGAAAAAAAAAAAAGCAAACTAAATAACCTATAATAACAAATCAGAGGACTCAGGTTACCAAATTTTAAGGGGTTCTATAAGTTTATATAAAATGCAGCATCCTCATGAGAGGGGATACAGAGAACCACTGGACAGAAAACTGTGTCTAAAATACATCTGTGGATACACAGTCCCTTTATAGTTGACAAAGGCTGCCATGTAGTTTAAGGTGGAATAGAATATTTTCTCAACAAATAACACAGGACCATAGGGTTACACGTAGGAAAAAATAAATCTAAACTTATCCTCACACTATAAAAACACTTCTTATTTTTTATCTTGTTGTTGTAAATTTTTTATGCTTTATTTTTAAGATTGACAAATAAAAATTATATACCATGGTCCTTCACTATACCTGGGTGATTGGTTCCAGGATCCCCATTCAGATACCAAAATCTGCAGATGCTCAAGCCCCTTGCATGAAATGGCATAGTGAAGCTGGGCACCGTGGCTCACGCCCGTAATCCCAGCACTTTGGGAGGCTGAGCTGGGTAGATCACAAGGTCAGGAGTTCAAGACCAGCTGGTCCAACATTCTGAAACCCCGTCTCTACTAAAAATACACACACAAAAAAATTTATCTGTGCATGGTGGCACGTGCCTGTAATCCTAGGGGAGGCTACTGGGGAGGCTGAGGGAAGACAATCGCTTGAACCTGGGAGGCGGAGGTTGCAGTGAGTTGAGATCACGCCACTGCACTCCAGCCTGGGTGAGAGAGTGAGACTGTCTCAAAAAAAAAAAATAGCATAGCAATTGCATAGAACCCATGCACATCCTCCTGTATACATGAAATCATCTCTTGATTACTTATAATTCCTGACACAGCCTACACGCCACTCAATTTGTGTCGATTCAACATAGTTTTTTGCTTCTTGAAACTTCGGGGATTTTTTTCTCAAAATATTTTTGATTTATTGTTGGTTCAATAAACACCTGTAAACCCCACAGATATGGAGGACCGACTGTATATTTATATTATGAAAGATGATATGTTGATATGTGTCCCCGTGGAGATGAGACTAACAAGGCCTATGACTCTACAAATGTTTCATCGTGGAATGACTCTGCCAGCTTTCCAGGTCTGCAGAGAGTAAGAATATCACTTGTTCATGTGATTCACGATCCTTGGAGCCTCCTATGTGCTGTATCTTTGGATGGAAATTGGAGTCTCAGAGACAATTCAGGCTCCATTCTGCTTCCAGAAGCTCAGAGTCCAGGGCTGAGAACCCAATGGAGAACAGATGGGGTTATGTGGACATGGTAATGATAACACCGGAAGCCTTAGGCAAGAGAAGAGTCTCGTTACCGAAACCATGAGGGCAGACATGTTTATTTGAAGGCGGGAAAACTACATTGAAATTATTTAAAAAATTTATAAGTTTTACTGCTGGCAGAAGGCTGAAAGATAGTCTGAAGGGAGGTGGAACAGCACGTGTCTAAGTGCTGTGTTAAGAGGGAGCCTCTTGTATGTTTGGAATTGTGAGTTCCTCAGTGTGATTGCAGCCTCAGGTAGACTAGGAAGTAAGCTAGTTAGGTTGGAGAGGTGGGCAGGGGTCAAGTGAAATGGAGAATTGTGGGCTAAGCAAAGGAGTGTGTTTTCTCTCCAGCAGGCAGTGGGGACCTTAGACATTTGTAAGCAAGAGAGAGGCATGTTCAGATTCGTGGTGTGAGGAAGAGCGATGCCCTAAGATGAAGACTGATGCCTTCAGATTCCAGCTGCTGGTACATGGGAGCTGGCAACCCGGTTTTGAGACAGGGCTGTTGTCTCCCTAGAAGATCCCCTCAAGGCCTGACTGTGGTGCTCGTGGACAGAAGACAACTTTGGATCTGGGCTCAGCATTTGGAAGTTCTATGTACATGCTGGTATCTGTTGGGGGTGTCTTGGGCCTCTCAGAAGGGCGAGTGATTTCTCTCTGTGTGAAAACACAGTGATCCAATTATGCGTATGACACCTCCTGATGGTCTTGTTCATCAGAATCCTGGAGAGAGGGAAATGCTGAGTGAGGGAGGGTGCTCACATTTTTCAGGACTCTTTGGGAATAAGACTAGCCACGAGGCTGGGCCGAGGAGCACCTACCTCGCTGTTCACTGTTCTGTTCCCTGCAGGCTCTTGGTCCATTACAGCAGCATCTGTAGAAGACGGAAGTCAACAAAAGAGCTCGGAGGGCACTTCTGGGTCCTCATTTCATAAGCAGATACCAACAAACAGGGGGAGGCCATAGGTGCCTGAGGTCCCTCAGTTGCCAACAGCAGACTCAGACATTCTATCTCTCTGAGTTCAAGGACCCATCCCATGAATAGCTCTGAGTTCCCATCCCATTGATTCTATCTCCCACTTTCTGCCTGTCATGGAACCTTCTCCTGGATGTGAGTGGCTGCAGGGGACGTGAGGGTACAGTTCAGAATCAGGCAACGGTCTGTGAGCTGAAGGCAGGGGAAGGGAATCTGGTGCTCTCTCTAGAAAGTCCTGCCTCTGTGGCTCCTGTCTTGGGCCAGGGACCATCCTGCTGGTGAGGAACACACACCTGAGTGCTCCCATCCTGCTTCCCCACATGGCCCTGAGCTCTCTGGCCTCTGCTTCGTGAGACTTACTTTTTTTGTTGGAGCACCAGCGATGAAGGAGAAAGAAGAGGAGGATGGTGAAAGGGATTTTGACCACTGAGGTCCCAATCAGAACATGCAGGTGTCTGGGGTTACCTGGAAGAAGAGGAGACACCAATAAGAAGCTAATCATAGCAGTTCCTCTTTATGAATTGTCTCGCATTTCTTGATTGGCAGGTAACCACATACAACGTCTCTTTAGGACAAGCACCCAAATGGCGGGAGACCTAGCTTTCCCCTGCTTTCTCAATTATAGCTCTCATAGTAACCATAGAACGTGCTGAGGATACAACTACTTTAGTTGAGATGTTTGACCCCTTCAAACCTCACATTGAAATTTCACCCCCATTGTGGGAGGTTGGGCCTCTTCAGAGGTGTTTGGGTCATGGAGGTGGATCCATCATGAACAGATCAATGCTGTCCCAAGGAGACGGGGTTAGCAAGTTCCCCCTCTGTTAGTTCCTGGACAGCTGGTTGTTAAAAAGAGCTTGGAAGCTCCATTGCTCCCTCTCCCCCTTACTCTCTCTCTTGCCGTGTGATCTCTGTGGTCTCTGCACAGACAGACCCTCCTTCCCTTCTGCCAGAGTGGGAGCAGCCTGAGGCCATCACGAGAAATAGATTCTGGTGCCATGCTTCCAGTACAGCCTGCAGAACTGTGAGGCAAACCGATCTCTTTTCTTTAGAAGTTACCGAGGCTCAAGTGTTCCTTCAGAGCAACAAAAAAAAAAACTAAGACAGCAACGACCTGAGATCAGGAGGAATGTCTCAGAACAGCCTGGGCTGTCTTCCTGTTCTTCCTGGAGGAAGGCGTCATGCAGTGCTTTAGCTGAGTGCTTCCTGTGGCTCCAGGGTACAAAACCCAGGCTGGGCTGCTTTCTGGCTTCCCCCAGCTACACTGCAAATGGGGTGACTCCATATGTCCCGAGCAGCTTTTCTGAGCCTTGAGGGACTGGCTCACATTGAAATGTAGGCTTCTGTTGTCACTCGCTGCTTATCTGTTAGTAATGAACCTGCCTGTGTAATGTATTCTCTGTGTGTTCTGTCTCCCTGGAGTGACGGTGAGTGATAGGAATTGGCATAGGCCCAGGTGCAGTCCAGGAGGTGTTTAGAGTCTTCTCTGGGAAGACTGCACTGGGATTGATACACAGCGACTGTGCTTTAGGATTTCTACATCCACGGCATTCTTGAGTCAAACAACTTGCATTCTCCAAGAAAAGGAAACAAAAGTGAAATCAAGATAAAAAAAGCGAAGTAGAATTCTCTTATGTCAAATGGCCAGGAAACAGTGTTGAAGCCCATGTGAAACGTGCTACTCTTTGTGATCTCAGGAGACACATGTTAGGTTGCTGTTCTACCCGAGAGGCTGGGGGAAGGACCACCCCCTCGGCCATCTATTGCTTCAATACCACCTGTCCTCCTGTGAATTAGTAGGAAAGGGGAGCAGGAGCTACTGCTGACGCTAATCTCTGATTCCAAGATCTGGACTCACTCCAAGGAGTATTAGAATTTACCTCCCCATGGCCTATCTGAATCTCCACAGATGATTGGAAGTAGGGGTGAGGTGGGGGATTTGGGTGAGAGGGCATGTTTTCTTGTGATGAACAGAGCACTTTGTGTATTCCAGGATCTGTGCTGGAGGATTCAGCGGGCTTTCACATTTTCTATATGATCTCATGCTCACAGAAAGCCAAATAGGGAAGAGGTTTTAGGCTCATTGCCTAATGGATAAGATAAAGGATCAAAGAAGTAATTATAGAGAAATAGAAAAATCATGATTGGAATTCAGGTCCCTTTCTCATTTGCATGTGTTATATTATATTTATATTTATGCATTTCTTATTTTTATTTTTTGAGACGGAGTCTCCTTGTGTCACCCAGGCTGGAGTGCAGTGATGCAATCTCCACTCACTGCAACCTCCACCTCCTGGGTTGAAGTCATTCTCCTGCTTCATCCTCCAGAGTAGGAGCTGGGATTACAGGGATGCACCACCATGCTCGGCTAATTTTTGTGTTTTTCCTAGAGACAGGGTTTCACCATGTTGGCCAGGCTGGTCTCGAACTGCTGACTTCATGTGATCCACCCGCCTTGGCCTCCTGCAGTGCTGGGTTACAGGCGTGAGCCACCGTTCACAGACTTGTATATTATGCTATAATAGGTCCCTTCATTTCCACCACCCCTCATATATCTGTCACTCCTTTGCCAGGTATTGATTTATGTGTAGTAGGAATAAAGCTCAGAAAGAAATTAAGCGAGGATTAGACAACTAGGAAAATCATACCCAGCAAGCCTTTCCAGCCAATGATTCCACCTCACAAGCATAGCTTATATCCATCTGCTTCACCCAGTTAGGGTCTAAATCAGCACCACATTTCACCAGTGGGGCGGGAATTGCCTTTTCCACAGTCTCCTAGATTCCAGTTACGCACCTGGGCCTCCCTTATTTTCATGTCAGTCACTATTAATCATGTAGGGATTCCTGGCTACCCCGAGGTGAATCCAATGGCTGTGAGTGTCAAACACACACTCCTTGTTGCTCCTTAGTTTCCTGTGTACCCAGTGTGCTCTCCGTCTCTCCACAGTCGTCTTGTCATTCTCCCCACCTCATTCCCAGCATTTGAGGCAGAGCCTCTTCCTTCCACATCAGATTGTTTTCAGCTTTCTGCCTTCACGGCTGACAGCTGTGTGTGGAAAATCCTTCCGCCAATCTTTCAGGGGTTCAATCCGTGTTTTTCATTAATGTCACAAATATCTGATTAGTGAGATCTTCTCTGTCACCCAAAATCATACACTCAGCATTATGTATTATTTATTTTAAATTCTGGCTGGGCACAGTGGCTCACGCCAGTTATCCCAGTACTTTAGGATGCTGAGACGGTCGGATCACTTGAGGTTGGGAGTTTCAGAGAAGCTTGGCGAAGATGGTGAAACATCCTCTACAAAAAATATACAAAAAGAATTAGCCGGGCATGGTGGCAGTTGCCTGTAATCCCAGCTACTTGAGAGGCTGACGCAGGAGAATCACTTGGATCCAGAAGGTGCAGGTTGCAGTGAGCCAAGATGGTGACACTGCACTGTAGCCTGGAAGACAGAGGGAGACTCTGTCTCAATAAACAAATGAAGAAACAAACAAATAGATTTCATACACAGATGCTTCCCAATGGATCATTCATTTATTGGTCCACTTGTGCATTCATTTTCTGCCCTCCCATTTAACCATCTGCAATATCAGTGTCCAAAGAGCAGAGGCCAAATGCATCTTGTTCACTGTTTGTGGAAGGCAGGAGAATGCTGTCCCACCCCAAAATGTCCCTGTCCTAGCCTCCATAGCTTGTGAATATCTTATTTTACATGGAAAGGAGGAATGAAGATTGCAGATGGAATTATGGTTGCTAATCAGCTGAACTTAAAACAAGGGTATCCTGAATGATTTCCGGGAGATTATGATGGATTTTCATCTTGGTGAACCCAATAGAATCCCCAAGTTTTCAAAAGATGAGGAAGAAGGGAGAGCAGCATTCAGAGAAAGAGGTGTGGTAAGGAAGAAGGGTCTGAGTGATGCCATGTGAGATGTGACCAGTCTTTGTGGGCTTTGAGGAAGGAGGAAGGGGACCAGGAGCGAAGGAATGTGGGAGCCTCTAGAAGCTGAGAAAAGTGAGAAGCAGATTCTTGCCTGGAATCCTCAGAGGGAAGGCAGCCTTGCTGTCACCTTGATTTTAGCCCAGTGAGATGCACTTCATACTTTGAGCTACAGCACTGTAAGATAATTAAAAAACCGTTTTGTTTTCACCCACGAATCTTGTGGAAATTTGTTATGGCAACAATAGGAAAAGCTTCCACAGTGCACAGCCTGAGCATGGGGCCGTGGCTGAATGAGTCAGTGAGTCGAAGTGTGCGTGCATGAGCTCTGTTCTCTGTTACAGCAAGGCTCTTTCTCTGCTGAGTCAGCCAGGGTTGCTTCATGACCTATAGGAGCTCATTCCTTGGCAAGTGGAACTTCTCTAAAACACCTCGCCCTCATCAGATGTTCCCTTCCCTTCCCTCTCTCAAGTCTCCAGGAATTTATCCTCCAGTTAGGAATGCAGGCAGAACAAACATTGCATTTTTCCTGAGAAGGATGTCAGATTGGCAATCATTCTTCTAGCTTGTAGGAAGTCTCAGCTCCATAAAATGAGAGATGAAGAGATTTCACTGAGCCCTGTGTTGGACCCAGATCCCTTTCGCTGTAGGAGTATCTGGAGTTCGGAGATGGTGGAAGACAGGGGTACAATGTCAGAGCTGTGAGATGCTGAGTCAACGCCTGAATCCAAGGTTTCCACCTCCCCAGGTTTCCAAAAGCGGATATAAGAGGGTTCTGTACTCACCGGTTTTGGAGCTTGGTTCAGTGGGTGAAGGCCAACTATTTGAAGGGTTTCCTAGAACATGAGACAGGAGAGAGGTGAGGAAATGAGGGTGTCTGTCCTCTACTCAGTGGAAATCTTTGAGGATGGTTCATGGCCAACACTCTGTTATCTAATATTGGGCCCTGGGAGTCCTGGGATCCTTTTTTCCATAATTTTTTTATGTGACGCCCACTGTCTTGAGACTTCAAGGTATAAAGAGAAAACAGGAGCATCACACTACCTGATCTCAAAATATGTTACAGAGCTGTAGTAAGCAAAACAGCATGACATTGGCATAAAGAAAGGGACATAGAACAACGGAGCAGAATGAATAACACAGATATATTCCATGCATTTACATCCAATGGTTTTTTATTTTTTCTTTTGAGATGGAGTCTTGCTCTGTCACTCAGGCTGGAGTGCAGAGGTGCAATCTCAGTTCACTGCAACCTCAGCCTCCTGGGTTCAATCATTCTCTTGCCTCAAACTCCTGAGTAGTGGTATTACAGGTGCTGACCACCATGCTCAGCTAATTTTTATATTTTTAGTGGAGACGATGTTTCATCACGTCGTCCAGACTGATCTTGAACTCCTGGCCTCAGGTAATCCACCCGCCTCGGCCTCCCAAAGTGCTGAAATTGCAGGTGTCAGCCACCAAGCCCAGCCCATCCAATGGACTTTGACAAAGGTGCCAAGAACTCACAATCAGGAAAGGACAGTCTTTTCAATAAACAGTGCAGGGAAACCTGGACATCGACATGCAGAGGAATGAAACTGCACCTCTACCTGTCACCATACACAAAAATCAAATGAAAATGGATTAAAGATGTGAGTCTAAGGCCTGAACCTATGAAACACGTAGAACAAAATATTGGGGAAATGCTCCAGGACATTTGTCTGAAGAAAGACATTTTGTTTTAAACCTTGAAAACACAAGTAATCGAAGCAAAAATAGACCATTGGGATTACCTCAAACTAAGCAACTTCTGCACTGCTAAAAATAAACCAACAAAGTGAAGAGACAACCCACAGATTGGGAGCAAATATGTGCAAACTATGCATCTGAGATGGGATTAATAACTAGAAATATAAGAAGCTCAAACAACTCAATAAAACAAATGATTTAATTGAAAAAGGAGCAGAAGACATGAAATTTCCCCACATACTAAAAAGTGCTCAGTATCACTCATCATCAGAGAAACGCAAATTAAAATCAAAGTGAGTTTTCATCTCACCCCATTAAAATGGCTTTTAGGCCGGGCGTGGTGGCTCACGTCTGTCATCCTAGAACTTTGAGAGCCTGAGGTGGGTGAATCTCATAAGGTCAGGAGTTTGAGACCAGTCTGACCCACATAGAGAAACACTGTCTCTACTAAAAATACAAAAATTAGTCGGGCGTGGTGGAGTGTGCCTGTAATTCCAGCTACTCGGGAGGCTGAGGCAGGAGAATCGCTTGAACCTGGGAGGTGGAGGTTGTGGTGAGCCGAGATAGCGCCACTGCACTCCTGCCTGGGTGAGAAGAGCAAAACTCCATCTCAAAATAAAATGAAATAAAATAAAATGGCTTTTAGCTGCAAGACAGGCAAAAGAAATGCTGGCAAGGTGGTAGAGAAAGGAGAACCCTGGTACCCTGTTGGGAGGAGTGTAAATTAGTACAGCGATTACGGAGAAAAGTATGGAAGTCCTTTAAAGAACTAAAAAGAGGTTGGGTGTGGTGGATCAGGCCTGTAATCCCGGCACTTTGGGAGACTGAGGCGGGCATCTCAGTTGAGGTCATGAGTTTGAGAGCAGCCCAGCCAACATGGGGAAACCCCATCTATACTAAAAAAAACAAAAAGTAGCCAGGCATGGTGGCGTGCACCTGTAATCCCAGCTACTAGGGAGGCTGAGGCAGGAAAATCATTTGAACCCAGGAGGCAGAGGTTGCAATGAGCCAAGATGACATCACTTGTACTCCAGCCTGGGCACAGAGGGAAACTGTCTCAAAAACAAAAACAAAACAACAAACGAAAAACTAAAAAGAGAACTTTCATAGTATCCAGCAATTTCACTACTGGGTTTATATCCAAAGGAAAGTAAATCAATATATCGAAGTGATATCTGCACTCGTATGATTGGTGCAGCACTGTTCACAGTAGCCAAGATGTGGAGTCAACCTACCTGCCCATCAGTGGATGAATGGATAGAGAGAATGTAGTACATACGCACAGTGGAGACTACTCATCCATAGAAAGAATAACATCCTGATATTTGCAGCCACATGGATGGAACTGGAAGTCATTACAAAGATTCCCATTTCTCACCCATATACAGAGCTAAAAGGTGGATCTCATGAAGGTAGAGAGTAGAATGATGGCTTCCAGAGGCCAGGAAGAAAAGGGTGGAGGGTAAAAAAAAAAAAAAAATATATATATATATAAATGTATTTATGACCACTAGACTTTACACTTAAAAATGGTAAATGTGGCTGGGCGTGGTGGCTCATGCCTGTAATCCCAGCACTTTGGGAGGCACATGCGGGTGGATCACGTGGTCAGGAGTTGGAGACCAGCTCGACCAACATGGTGAAACCACCTCTCTACTAAAAATACAAAAAGTAGCCTGGCGTGGTGGTGCGCGCCTGTAGCACCAGCTACTCAGGTGGCTGAGGCAAGAGAATCGCTTGAACCCAGGAGGCGGAAATTGCAGTGAGCTGAGATTGTGCCACTGCACTCCAGCATAGGGGACAGAGCTAGACTCTGCCTCAAAAAAAAAAAAAATGTTAAAGGTGGTAAGCTATATAGGTATATTTATCCTCAATAAATATTTCTTCAAACAAAAGTAAAGGGTGTAGGGGTTGCTGGTGATGACATCCCTGTGTGGGTGAGAGGCCAGGATGGGCTTCTGGGAAATGGATAATGTTGAGGGGCTGAGGGAACCTCTGATCTTCCCAAACTGAGCCCAGTCTCTCTCCTCTGGGTCTCTCCTGACCGTTTTCTCCATCTGCCTGTGTGCCTGGAGCCCTGGCCGCGGGCCTTCATGCAGGCCGTGTAGGAGGGTTTGGAGGTGCCCTGTCTGCCATCCTGTGCCCTGATCCCTCCCTCACACCCAAGCTTCGTCTTCTCTCTGCATCTGTCCATGCTTCTCTCCATCATCAGCAGGAAGCTCCTCAGCTAAGGCTCTAGGATCATAGGACATGAGACAGATATGGGGTTTCCTCACCTGTGACAGAAACAAGCAGTGGGTCACTCGAGTTTGACCACTCATAGGGAGAGTCACGGAAAGAGCCGAAGCATCTGTAGGTTCCTCCGTGGGTGGCAGGGCCCAGAGGAAAGTCGGCCTGGAATGTTCCGTTGACCTTGGGCCCTGCAGAGAACCTACGTTCATGGGCCTCCCCCTCCCTGGATAGATGGTACATGTCATAGGAGCTCCGGGAGCTGCAGGACAAGGTCACGCTCTCTCCTGCCAAAACCGTGGGGCCCGGCTGGGCTGAGAGAGAAGGTTTCTCATATAGACCTGGAAGGAGAAGAGGCATTTTCCTCAGGGAGGATCTTCCTTGTCACAGCTCCCTTCACCTGAGCTGAGAACTCACTCCCCTGCTCTATGACCTAATGCTCTCTCTCTCTCTCTCTCACCCTCCACCCCATCTCTCTTCATGTCTATTTCCTCCTTCCACCTTCTCTGTCTCTCTAGGTCTCTGACCTCGCTTCCCCACCTCTAGATATGTTTTCCCTTTTTGGATTCTTTTATTCTCTCTGACTCTCCTTGGATTGGTTGACTTGATGTTACTTTTTTAAATTCTAAGTTTCTCACGTTGTGTCCTGTTCATAACTTTCTGCATATTTCTATCTATTATCTGTCGATCTATCTATTTATCTATTCGGTGCCTATCTACAAATTCTCTACCTGTCATCTATATCTATATATCATCTATGTATCTATCAGTTGTCTATCTATCCATCAATCATCTGTTATTTATATGTATGTATCATCTCTCTCTCTATGATTTCTGTCTGCCTCTCTATCTGTACGTATTATCTATCTGTCTTCATCATCATCATCTCTATGTATTATCTATTAATGAATCAATCAATCATCATCTATGTATCTTTAACCTATTATCTATCATCTACCTATTTATCATCTATCTATATCTATCCATCTATCATCTGTCTTGCTCTGCCTCTCGGTCTCTCTAGTTCTCTTTGGAATCTCTGCAGTTCATCCCCACATCTCCATCTTTCTATGTCCTTGTGCCTCTCCCTCAGGACTCTAATTTTAGTGCTTTTCTCTGCTCCCTTCCATCATTCTCACCACTCCTCTGCCCTCTTTTCTCTCTCTTTATGTGTCAGTGAGTCTCTCAATCTCCTTCCTCTGGCCCATTCTCTGTGTGTTTATGTCTTTGCTTTTTGGTGTTCCTGATTTCTCTCTGTGCCTCTCAGTGATCCTTTCATATGTGGGGTTATTTGGAATGTGAGCCTCAGAATCCAGTCTGGAGACCACAAGTTCACACAGCATACAGGGGTTGGTGTTCTGGGGCCATGATATCCTGGGACGGTTACTCTCCATTACATGGAAGGCAGAGGTGTCAGAATAAACATGGCCTGTAGGTGCCACAAGGCCTGAGGCCACAGGGCCCAACTCAGGTCAGAAATATGGGTGTCCTTGGGTTCTCCTGGTAGAGAACACTTTGTGGAGGTAAAACAGAAATGAAACTTCTATCCTGTGCCAGGTCTGTGAGCAAAGTCAGCATGGAGGGACACCTCTCTCTGGGACATGTCTGTCTGTCTGTCTCCTTTAACTCTTTCTGTCTTTTCTAACTCCCTGTATGGCCCCTGTGTCTGTCCTCCGTTATGACACCTGGTCTGTACTTGTGTCTCCTGTTTCTCTGTCTCTGTTGGTACAAACCTCAGCAAGTCAGTCTCTCTCCATAAGAATACCAAGCTCATCTTCCTTACAACTACCTGGGGGTTCCAAGTCGTGGATCATTCACTCTGCAGCCCAATGACAATGAGAATGTCCGGACACTCTCACCTGTGATGACGATGTCCAGAGGGTCACTGGGAGCTGACAACTGATAGGGGGAGTGAGTAACAGAACCGTAGCATCTGTAGGTCCCTGCAAGGTCTTGCATCATGGGACCGATGGAGAAGTTGGCCTTGGAGACCCCATCATGGTGCTCTCCAATGAGGTGCAAAGTGTCCTTATACTTCCCCTCTCTGTGCAGAAGGAAGTGCTCAAACCTGACATCTGACCAACATTGCAGGATGACTGTCTCTTCTGATTTCACCAGGGGACCTGGGTGGGCCAGGAGGGAAGGTTTTCTGTGGACTCCTAAGAAGAGAGGTTGTGAGTTTAGAAGGTGTCTCTCTTTATCATCCCATCCATGGCACCTAGAATGAGTGAGGCTTCCCCTTGCTGGTGTCTGTCTCTCTCCTTCCTCTCTGTGTCTTCATGTTCTTTTCTGTGCCCATAACTCCTGGTGCAGGTCCTTCCATCTGTCTCCCTCCCTCTTCTCTGTCCCTCTGTCTCTAGTAGCCTCTGATTCCCTTCCCACTGGGCTTAGCCTCATCTCTTGGGGTGTTGTATCTATTTCACACTAACGTCTTTCCTGCTGTTTATGTGGGGGTGAAAGAGGAACCAGGATAGGCTGCACATCCAGGCTCTTATCAGCCTTGTTCAATCTCTTTTGGATGAATTGCAATCCTTGGCAGAAGGTATGAACTGATGAATAAGGCAGGCACCAGTGTCCACACACCCTGTTCCTGGTCGGGACTGGGAGCCACTCTTGCCATGCCTGTGCCTTCTCCATGGTGCCAGCTTCCATAGGCTGGCTCCTGGTGCTGGTTGGAGGAGTATCAACCCCTCCCTATGTGGATGGAGCCTGGTGGTGGCATCATCATCCCACCCTTGCTGATCTCAGGGTAGCCAACCTTCTCCTTGTTTGGTTTCTTTAATTAATTAATTAATTTTGGAGACAGAGTCTCACTCCTTCACCCAGGCTGGAGTGAAGTGGTGTGGTCTAGGCTCACTGCAACCTCTGTTTCCTGGGTTCAAGTGATTCTCCTGCCCTCAGCCTCCTGAGTCGCTAGGATTACATGCGCCTGCCACCATGCCTGGCTTTCCTTGGGTTGTTTCTTAACTTGTCCTTGACCTGGGTTCCAGTGTTGGTTTCCTGTTGCTGCTGTACAAAATTATCAGAAGCATGGAAGCAGGAGAGACCACACTGACACCTTCCAGTACTGGAGACAGAAATTGGACCCTATTTTTCCTGGGCTAAAATCAAGGCATCTGCAGGGCTTCGTTTCCTCTGGAGACTCTGGAGAATCAGTTCCTTGACTTTTCCAGCCTCTATAGGCCACCTGCATTCATGGCTCTTGGCCTTCCTCCACCTTCAAAGCTGGTGAAGACTTCCACTGGACTGCTCTAATCCCCACTCCCCTCTTCCTCCTCCTTTCATGTGCACCCTTGTGATTACACTGAGCCCAGTGGGACAGTCCAGGCTGTCTCCCCATGAGCTCCATCTTCCCCTTCAGTCCCTTCCCCTATAACATACATAGTCACAGACTCCAGGGATTAGAATGTAGTCATCACTGGGGACAATTATTCTTCCCACCACAGCACCCATTTCCCTGTATTCAATCCCCCTTTACCACAAATACAGTCAGGGCCTGCGTGATGGGACCCTCAAGGACATGCCCACCAGAAGCTCTGGGATTCAGGAGGTGGGACAAGGAGAATCCAAGACAGGAGCCCTCTGACCTATGACCACGATCACCAGGGGGTTGCTGGGTGCTGACCACCCACTGGGGGAGTGTGTGTGTGAACCCCGACATCTGTATGTCCCTGTTGTGCGGGGGTCACAGGGCCCATGAAAAGGCTGTTCCAGAATATTCTGTTGTAGAGCTCAGGGACAGGCACCCCACCTTCCTTGTACAGACTGAAGTTGTTAAACCCAAGATAAGAGTGACACCGAAGAATGACATGTCCTAGAGGCACCACAAGGCTGGGCCAGGCAGACAGCAAGGGCTTGTCCTGACCACCTTGGGGAGAAGGAGGCGCCGCCTTAGAGAGGAGGATGTGGAACTGCCCCTCCCTCCCTGTGCTCAGAAGATTCTCCTCGCTTTCCACGTTTCTATGGCTACTATCACACCTTGGTGCCCAGGGCTGAAGGAAGGACCCATCCCGCAAAGACATGGTGTCTCCCTACAACAAAAGCCTCAGCTGAGAACTTTGAGCAAGTGCTGAGTAAAGAGACTCCTACTAGATTTTAATACTGTAAGATTACTCACATAAAACAACACAGGGTAGACATGAGGTGGAGGGCATGTCCTTTGTGAGTGGATATCAGCGGATGCCTGAACGAAAATAAACAACTGAGCCCCCATCAGAGGATTTGGAATGTCAGGGCCATGGCTGTGGTTTCCCACCTCTTCTGGTAGAATGACAGCAGCCACACTGCAGCCCCTACCATCATGGAAACGCTGAAGTGTGTGAGTAACACCTTTGTCCTCAGAGGATCTGCTGTTCCTACCACTTCCCCACCACACACCCCAGCTTTGAGCACCCCAGTCTAACCCTGGTCCCCACAGAACTTGACTCTGCCAAGGGGTTGAGAGGCCAGGGAGGCAAGGTCAGAAATGTGGGCCGAGCACCCCAGGGTCCTCTCTTCCCAGTTTATGAGAGACTCCCTGACAGGACTTCCCTCCTGTTTCAGGAAAATCCTCTTATGTGGGGAGATGACAACCGAAGGTTTGGAGAAGGACTCACCCTCATGTGGCCAGGCCCCCTGCAGCAAGAAGAACCCTGGAAAGAAAGATCATGATGGACCATCCATCTGCAGGCAAACCAGGACTCCCTTGCTGCCCCCACTGGGCTGTGAGTCTTGGCAGCCAGGCCCTTCCTGGGCTGAAGTTAAACTCACCCTCAGTGCCTACCTGCACCCAAGAACAGGGCTGTCGGCTGTGCAGAGACCCAGTTTCCAGGCCCAGATCCCCACCACAAGCCCATATCTCCACTCCAGGCTGATATTTCCACCCTAGGCCCATATCTCCAATCCAGTCCCATATCTCTGCCCCAGGCCCAGATCTCCACCCTAAGCCCATATCTCCACTCCAGGCCCATATCACCTCTCCAGTCCCATATCTCCACACCCAGGCCCATATCTCCTTCCTAGGCCCATATCTCCACTCCAGGCCCAGATATCCACCTCTAGGCCCATAACTCCACTCCTGGCCCATATCTCCACTCCAGGCCCATATCTCTACTGCAGGCCCGTATCTCCACCTCCAGATCCATATCTCCACTCCAGGCCCATATCTCCACTCCAGGCCCATATCTCTACTGCAGGCCCATATCTCCATCTCCAGGCCCATATCTCCATCTCCAGGCCCATGTCTCCACTACAAGCCCATATCTCTACTGCAGGCCCATATCTCAACCTCCAGGCCCATATCTCCACTCCAGGCCCAGATCTCCACTTCTAGGCCCATCACTCCATCTCTAGGCCCATAACTCCACTTCCAGGCCTATATCTCCAACTCTGGGCCCCGATCTCCATCCCCGCACTCCCTCCCTCGATTCCCTTCCAGGACTCACCAACACACGCCATGCTGACGACCATGAGCGACATGGTGCTGTCTGTGCAGACAGGCGGCCGCGCCCCAGCTCAGCTCAGCAGCGCACAGGATGTTATTTGGCGCCCTGCCCATGCAGTTTACATGTTGACCACATCATGGGAGGGTGACGTACGCAGGCTCTTTCTACCTTGCATGAGGCCCAGTGGGTGCTCGCTCAAGAGCGGAACATGGCTTCCTGGAAATTGTTCTCACTAGAATTGACACCTTGCGTCCTTCACTACGACCAGACTCAAAAGACGTCTCAGATCCAACCTCTCATACACGAGATGATTGAATTCTGTGCTTACATTAAAGATTTTTGATGTATTTTTGTTTTTATCTGAGATTCAAACTCTTCTTCATATGTAATGTGCAAAATGTCTAACAGGTATTATTAACATTATCAGAGTAATTGTGACAAGAAGCCATTCTAATTTTCCTGCTTGAGTTTCTAGTACTAAACCAGAGGCATCAGAATAGCTTGAACCTGGGAGGCGGAGGTTGCAGTGAGCTGAGCTCAAGCCACTGAACTCCAGCTTGGGTGACAGAGGAAGAGTCTGTCTCAAGAAAAAAAAAAAGCAAACTAAATAACCTATAATAACAAATCAGAGGACTCAGGTTACCAAATTTTAAGGGGTTCT